>NC_000001.11:238002303-238153818 GCF_000001405.40 Homo sapiens | reverse complement strand
CAGACACATTCTAGAACAGTAAAGCCCCGCCTACTCTGTGCACAGAGAGGATGTGCTTAGATTCTGGAGCAAAGATGAGATCAAGAGATAGAGATTGAGAGAGAGAGAGAGAGAGAGAGAGAGAGAGAGAGAGAGAGAGAGAGAGAGAAAGGTCATCAGCAGTCCTACTTAAGATCCGAGTTCCTAAACTTCTACCTCCACCTTTCTACTGTGTATGCAGGTACCATCTGGTCTTCAGTGCATCTTTCTGTGGGGACTGGAGCTCAGGGAACCAACACAAGATATTGCCCTGGCTGCTATTTTGCCATGAATAATAAACTCTGACTCAGCAACCTCATGTTTTTCATTAGTCAATGTGTGTAAAACTGTGTCAGGCTAACTGATTAGATTTCTAATAGGGTAAAATCTCAGACCCTTCACAGTCCTGACGTAACAGTCATAGGCAACATAGGGACTTAATGAATTAATGAAGCTACCCAAGAAGTCTACTTTCAATTAGTTTTGATTTAGCTGTGCAAAGGAAGATTTTTTTCAGTAGTGATTATCTTTACCCTGTCTATTTAAGTAAAATTGTCCTAATCAATACACTTCTGAATAGTATCCAACTGTTCATTTCAATTCTGTAATGTAAGGTGGTATTATAAGTCCTGCATAGTCCTTTGTAATTCCATCACTCTTTATTTCAACCATCCAAAAATAACAGTATTTAAAAATTAACAATAAAATATATCAATATGCCAAGCACTATGAAGGACTCTGGGGACAATCAATAGCCAAGAAGACAAAGAGGATGTTTCTCCTCATGTTAAACAAGTATGATTGGTGTTATGAAGAAAAGAAGGAGAGAGGGAAAAGGATTTTAAAATGTTCCAAGCAGAGGCAAGAGCAAGTGTGAAGTCTCTAGGGAAGTAGCATGGAGGAAGGAAGGTACTTCCGAGGCACTAAAAGGTATCCAACCCCACCTAGGTAGACGGAACATGGAAATGGGTACAGGTAAGCTGCAGGGGAAGGAAAAGGACAGATCATGGATCCTTAAAAAAAGCCATATTAGGAACTTAGATATTTTGATTCAAGAAACATGAAAAAAACTTTGTAGAATCCTAAGATGGTAAGATACATAAAGAGATTTAAAGTTTTAATATTCTACCCTGTATGTTGGAGAATGATTTAGATGTTCACAAAACAAATGCAGAGAAAACCATTAAATAGCTCTGATGTGCACCAGGGATAATGAAAATACAACATATTTGAAAGAAGGGAAGTTCAGAACTAGGATAGACTGAGTCTGTGATTCATGGTTTGTAGAGTGGGAGACAGAGTTAAATCAAAGATGATCCCCAACTTTCAAACTTTGGAATCATTTACTGATGTTCTTAAACATCATGCCCCCTTTCTAGGGTCCATAACCTTGCACCAGAATTCCCACCACAGTATCCTCACACTGCCTTCCTGCATTTCTGAGATTAGTCACTGCCATGCCCTTTCTCTATGACTGGACACCCAACAGTCTCATCTTTGATTCATCCTTGTTGACTACTCTCCTGAATTGAGATCTGTTATCAGCTCTTTTCGATCTTCATGCTGTGTCCACAGGGTTGAATGACCCCGGCAGGACCAAAACTGGACCAGCTGTGAGTGCTGTCCAAGGAGCAGGTTTGCTCCCAGCTCCCAATTCCTCTTCATAGTGGCATTATCTTGCTTTCTGTTCTAATTAAATGTCCTGCCAATTTTAAAATAATTATGGCTGTACCTTTCCTTCCAAAAAAAATTTCATCTCCCAGTGAATTGAGAGAGTTCCATCTCAACTTGTTCAAGATATAAAATCATGTAAGAAAATAAATATACTCCTTATTTCCTTTTTTTCTTTCTTCTTTTTAAAGAAATAAATCTATATGCTTTAAAGCCTTGAAACAATCAAGTATAATTCCCTTTTCTGGGCAAAACCTAATTTGTTTCTTTTAAATTAAGCAACGAAAGGGAAATTTTAAGTGCCAAAAGGAAAAGATCAGTCAAAAAGATTTTTCTACTGCCCCTTTATTCTCTATCTAAGGAAATGACTTTTTGAAGTTCCAGACTGCACTACAAAGATTTTGGCTGTCTACTTGTCTTTGTTGTGTTTTGTTTTTGGAAATATATGCATATCTGGAAACACCACTGTTGAAGCAGGTAAGAAAGGGGTCTTGCCAACAATTGGGCAACTGCCTCGAGAGGAAGGTATTGAGACTCCTTTTATCACTTCTCCTGGGACAAAAGTAGTTAGCCACGGAAAGATCCTATGCCCAAATGCTTTACTTCTCTTGAAGGAGAGTGTTGCCTTCATAACATAAATATGTGGCACTGGCTGAGTGGTTGGGTGGGAGGCAACAGGTGGTGAGTAGTAAAGAAATTGATATCAGAGGCTGGAACAATCATAATCCATGTTACACATTGTCAAATATTTAGTAGAAGTAACTTGGGAGGGAAATGATATGCCGTGTTTCCTACTTTTGGCTGTTTGGCTAATTATTAAGAGAAAAGGATAAGTTCATGAAGAATCAGATAATACACAAGCAGAAATAAAAGAGAGTAAGAGTCCAGAATTTTGATCTTTGAAGGACTGGAAAAGCTGCTTCTGAATTTGAAACAGTAAGAGATGAGATTTTAAAAGACTTTCAGAGGCAAAGGTCCAATAAAGCTTCTCAGCTGAATTCAGTGACTCAAGCAAAGATTAGATGAAGGGTGAACCTCCCGTTCTGGCCTAATAGCCCTGGGGTAGCCACTATTACATTTAGAAAAAGAAATAAGGAGGCAATAAAACAGAAAGGGAAAGACGAGGTGAGATGGAGAAAGAGAAAGAAAAATAGAGAGAGGAAGAGGAGAAAGGAAGAGAAGAACGGGGAAGAGAAGGGGAGGGCTGGGAAGCAGAAGGGAAGGGAAGGAAAGGAGGGAGGAGGAAGAAAAGGAGGCCAGCTATTAGAGAGCTGGGTCTAGGAATGAACATTAGGTGTGGTTACTGTAATGTAACTGACTAGAAGCAAATAGGTAAGGAGTTTTCTCAGGGAATTATATTTGAAAGAAAACAAGAAAGCTGTATTAAAAAACCCCCAAAAAACAAGAAACCAAAAACTTAAGACTATTCCAGGGTTAAAAACAACTCTTACACTCCAACCCTCTACAAATGGGAAATAAGTTGCAAAATCTATACAGTCCCTAAGAGGGAATATTCTCCAATTATCACTTCACATGTGTCCAAAGATGATGATAAACAAGAAAAACAAAAACAAAAAAACTCACTCCACCCTCAGATGGCAGAGCTAGGAGACAACACAACAAAATGAAAAACAAAGAAACAAAAGCAAAGAAAATCAGGTAGTTCCTCTTGAGCCAGTGTCCAATCAGAGCAATGCTCTCACTTACAAGACCTGCCTCACAAAATCACAGGACTGCAGAAAGACTATAGACCAGTTAGACCAGTACTTCTTTGGAATGAGAGTTTTTATTTCAGTTATCCTACACCTGTTCCACTGTTGAGAGGATTGGGGAGGGGGAACTGATATCCTAATCGTTTGCTTTCATACCACACCTGAAGCAGCCAATTCTGTATCTGATGGACATAGACTTTGATCTGGATGAGATGATTAAGTGACAATCTGGGGTTTGTTCCCCGTAAAGAGATGTTGATTGTGTTCTATGTGTGGAAATAAGAATGAAAGAGCTATTTAATGATCTGAAGGGTAGATTTGGCAGAACCTACCTGAATGTTTATCAAACATATTTCTCTTCTCCTTTTTCATGCAGTTATACTATGTCTTCAGCTTTACTTGCAAATAGGATGGCCATGTGACTAAATTCTAGGTAGTATATGTGAGCAGAAAAGATGTATGCCTGTCCAAGTCTGTCCCATCAAAATCCCATGATCTCTATCCTCTTCCTCTTCTGCGGCAACCTTGGATGGTGTGTCATAAAGACAGAGGCATCACAAAATAAAAAGTACCCCTTAAAACTGCATATAGCAAAGCTCCCCCACCCATTTACGCTGGACTAAAATTTGAGAAAACAACAAGCATTTTGTTATATTTCATTGTTAAACCTATCAGATTTGATAGTTGTTTGTTATGGCATTTAGCCCACCAGTATTAATTTAGAAATTCATCAGAAATGTATCAGTATTCAGAATCCCAAATGACAAACAAGCATTTTGTATTCCCTTTGTTCTAATAGATGTACTTACTTTTCTGTAAAAGCTACAGATCTCAGTGTGAATTATTTAAGAACAACAGACATCAGTAACAATTTGCTAATGCTATTCATTTCCACCCCCAAGAAGGGAAGGGGGGAATCACTTGTGTGATGAGCATTGGGATCATAAATAGAAATTGGACAAAGGTTTTCCCAGAGCAGAGTATCTAATAAATGGATTACCCCATGACTGATAGACATGTTCTCATTCCCAGATTAGATGATGGAATAGAAATAAAAAGCAGCCATTTCAATATCACTCACCCAACACCCTTGTGCTAATCATGGACATACAGATCATTTAGTGATGTGATTTATTCCTGGAACAATTGGATAAGCCTTCTGATTAACAGAACATTGATTACTCTATGTAAGTTTCCTACTTCAGACCTACTGAACGGTTTCCTCCTTATGTGAAGTTCTACAAATACCTGATCACTTTTCCGTAATAAAAGATATACTGGCATGTAAAAATAATACTTTCATATCATTTATATCGCTACTTTATATTTATTTTAATAGAATTTTAAATAAACAGCATATTTTAAACATCCAGGAAAAAAATTTTTCAAAGTCCCATTCTAAGAACCTTTTAGCAGAAATGATAAGCGAAAACGAAACAATTTTGTTTTCATAGAAAAGATCTGATTATTCCTATAGAAAGAGAAAAATAGAATAAGCAAATGTTAAAGACAATGTTCGTTGATTAAAATGGCACATATATATAATGAATATATATAACAATCCAGATAATAAAAGTTTGTTTACTTAAAAATAAATATGCTAAGATTAAAACATAAGCATCAATCATATCTTATGGTGTCTTAGTATTTTGTTGTTTGGTTTTGCCATGTAGACAAAATAATTGGAAGACAATTTTCATGTAGACATTCTGATTCTAACATAGCATACCACTGGTTGGTTAACTGTTATATCTTCCAACTCTTCAAATATAAGCAATATTCTGACTTAATAAAATCTTTCTTCATTTGGAATAAGTAGATTTATAGACATAATAAATTATTAATCTTATCATGATTAATTTATACTAGAAAAACTCAGATATTCAAATAATATTTTAAACTCAGGTATATTTGAAAGAGATTTAGAATTTTTCATTCCCAGAGATCCAGATAAGTTTTTTTAAGGGCAAATACATTTTTCAGAATGCTTCATATCAGCATAAGCAATTGAAGTTAGTTTCATATTTAAATTTATACCTGTACCTGGACTCATTCTGTTTCCATTTTATAACCACTATACTATAACAATATATTTTCAAGATATTGGTAATACTGTCATATTTTTGGAATGGTGCTGTACAGATTATTCAGTGAAAATAATTATTCTCTGTTCAGGAATTTACAGTTTAGCATTTCAAGTTGACAGTTTAGCATATAATCCTGTAAGAAATTAATCCAACAGCTCTACATTCAAAATTTTGTTAGCAAAAGCTAAACCGTTCAATTTTTAATATCTTTTTCACACCTTTTTTATTTTTATATATTATGCTTTTCCAATTAAAGTTTAAATAAAATTTCAAACTATGTTCTAAGATATTCATTCACAAAATTTATATAATGTCTAAGGGCAAAAACTGGCACATTACTTCCTGAGGAAATTTATATAGGATATTCACTCACAAAACTTATTTAAACATCTTTAAGGGCAAAGGCTGGTACATTACTTCCTGAGAGAATTACATATGTTAATTGAGGGCAGATATTAGCCCTTGATATTAATGGAAATTATTCATGCTGATTGTGCATGTAATCTCATCATTTGCAAGTCTTTTATTAGTGCATAAAAATAAAAATCTGAAAAGCCATGTTTTTCAAGTTAAATACTATTATATAGTAGAATCTTTTACATAAAGCCATAGATTTAAAAGTGATTATTATGTGGTCTCTCTTTTCCCTACCATCTACCCCTTTGGTCTCCCTAATTAGTTATTTTTACCCTAGTAGTTATGTTTGGCCCTTCAGCCAATACCTTATTGTCCCTGGTGGTATAAGAGAAGTCCACAATTGTAAAACAGAAAGAAAAATTAGTATAATTTTGCTAAACTGACGTATTTTATTAATTTCTCAGTTGAAATTTAAAACTGTTTCATAGCTAAATCCTCTTGAGATTTCACTGAGACCTGTAGCAGATAATCATAATACCTGTTTGCAAAGCAGGACTAAAGAATGTCAAGAGTGTGATGTTTTAACAGTGTATTTTTGAAACAATTAGACAATGTTGAGGGAGATTAAAAAGTGTGTTAAAGGTGGAGAATCTAGGGAGAGGGTGGATTTAGTAATTAACGTGAAGTGTCAGAAATTCTAAGACCTATAACTCATTTTACTCATTTTCCCGTGATTTTGAGACTATGAATCACTTGAATATCTCAAGATCTGATTAGCAGTCTAAGATCACAACTCTGAAATTCACTTCCTACCACAAAACAATGTTGAGTTTCCTCTTCAAGGTATATCTCTCTGGTGGCACAAGCAGAGGACTGAGTAACATGGGCAATGCATGCAAAAGGCCAAGTGAGAGAATCCCTAGGAGTGATGCGCTGAATATTCACTCTTCTCAATTGTAGTTAGCCAGTGTGATGCTTAATTTTATGTGTCAGTTGGACTGGGTTAAGGGATGCCCAGATAGCTAGTTGAACATTCTTTCTGGGTGCATCCGTGAGGGTGTTTCTGGAGGGGATTAGTATTGGAGTCAGTAGTATTGGAGTCAGGATCCAGTCACCTTCCACCAGGCCCCACCTCCACACCTAAGATTACAATTTGACATGAGATTTGGGCAGGGACGCAGACCCAAACCATATCACTAAGTATCCTATTGGTTGTGTTTCACTGGAAAACCCTGACTAATATAGCCACTGGCATTCATTAGATGTCACTAAGCTGAGCATATTAAGTATGTGGACTGAGTACAGAAGATCCACCCTAATTAAAGTAGGCAGGCATCATCCAACCTACTGGAGCCCACATTAAGCAATAAAAAGGGAGGAGGGCAAATTCTCTCTTTCCTCTGGAGCTGGGACACACATCTTCTCCTGCTCTTGGCCAACGGAGCTCCTGGTTCTCAGGCCTGTAGACTCCAGGACTTGCACCATTGGTTTCCATGGCTCTCAGGCTTTCAGACTCAGACTGAATTATACCACCAGGTTTCCTGGTTCTCCAATCTACAGAGGGCACATTGTGAGACCTCATGGCCTCCACAATTGGGTAAGCCAATTCCCATAATAAATCTCTTATACATCTATAAGTGTATCAGAGCAATCTCACACTGCTATAAAGTAATACCTGAGACTGGGTAATTTATAAAGAAAGGGGTTTAATTGGCTCCTGGTTCTTCAGGCTTTACAGGAAGTATGGCTAGGGAGGCTTCGGGAAGCTTACAATCATAGCAGAAAGCGAAAGGGAAGAAGGCACATTTTATTATGTGGCCAGAGTAGGAGGAAGAGAGAGAAGGGGGTGGTGCCACACACTTATAAACAACCAAATCTCATGAGCACTCACTCACTTTACAAGAGCAACACCGAGGGGGAAATCTGCCCCCAGGATCCAGTCACCTTCCACCATGCCCCACCTTCAACACCTAGGATTACAATTTGACATGAGATTTGGGCAGGGACGCAGACCCAAACCATATCACTAAGTATCCTATTGGTTGTGTTTCACTGGAAAACCCTGACTAATACAGCCACTGGCATTCATTAGATGTCACTAAGCTGAGCATATTAAGTATGTGGAAAAGAGCCTTCATTATACAAACATACTATAATTTCTTTTTAAAGTACTATTTTACTAATAAAAAGAGAGGGTTATCCATAAGGGGTCACGTATGTAAATAATACCAAGAATCAGAATACCTCAAAGTGTCTAAATAAACAAAATAAATAGCACAAGAGTTTTTGCCCCATTTCACTAAAATTGATGCTGTAAACAGATTACTCAAAATTTCAAAGCTGCTGATTCCCACAAATTTAAGCAATCCTCCCTGATAAATATTGGTTTGCTTTCTTTTATCATTTATTTTTTCCAACAGGCAAAACAGCACTGTTTGTCTTTGTCCAAATACTAAACTGTTCATGGACCAAGAACAGTTTTTTTAGTTTAGGCAACAATAATGATTACATTATAATCCCTCCTCTATTCCCTCCTTTTTCTCAGGACAGCTACCAGCTGGTCCCAAAAGAAATGGTGGGAGACACACTTGAGAGCATTTATTCAATTTTTTAAAAATTAACTCCAATTTCAATTTGAATGAGGAAAGAAAATGTCCTATGCAAAGATAGGGCGTTTAAACCAGGCTAGAAGAAATTCATTTTCACCTAGACTGAATCGGACTTTGTATCTACAAACTTTGGTAGTCTGAGATACTAAAGCACCATCCAATGATGTTTAGGGTACTAACTATTTAAATTAATGTGGATTTTTAAAAAGGAAAATGTCTTTGCTTATACAGGCTGCTACCCTCTTTGGTCATTTTTGTGAATTCTATGAGCCCCATCTGAAACAAGCCATATCTGGGGCATCTGAGCAGGGTTACCCCTGGGAGTGGTGGCAGAAGGTCATCAGGAACTCCCTCCTTAGTGATATTAGAGAGAATAATAGAAAATAATTGACTTAAGATTTTAGGGTATCAATAAAAACTAAGGAAATAAAGGTCCTGATACTTCATTGCATTGTTGAAGATTCAAACCTTGGTGAGAAATTGGTATTTCTTTTCCTGAAACAAATTAACTTAAAATGTTTGGCTTCAAACATCACCAACTCCAGTATTTTCCCTTCTAAAAGCAAACCTAAAATGTGGCATGTTGGTTAAATGAAGGCAGGTTGATACTGTTGATGAGTTTTCCTGTGGGACCCCAATCTGTCATTTTTTTCAACAGTGTCTGAAGTGAACTTTAAAACGAAAATATAGATTTATTTACTCTCATTCCCATCCATCTTTATGGATTTCTTTGCCAAAAGGCTGCCTGAGAAGTTCAGGGTAAGTCCTCCTGCTCAAAAAATATCTCCCCAATTCTGTATCTTTCCATTATAAAACTTTGTTATTTTTCTTAAACAATGCTGGCCCATCTTTTCTCCTGCTAAAGGGGGCCCATGGAATATGGGCTTTGTTCATACTATGATAGAATTTTAAAGAGCAACAGAGAAGAGAGCAGCAACTTACACAGTCACTTAAATGACGACATTCAATTATTTTGCCTTTGTTTTGAAAGAACCTTGCAAAAAATGCAATTCTTCCAGGAAGGCAAATCATTTCTACTAATTCTACTAAATAACTTCTCTAGGATCCTTGTTAGCTAGGAAAGAATAAGATATATAGAAATGGAACCCAGAAAAAACAAATCTTGAAACTTCAGAGGCTCCCAAGTGTCCAGAGGAGAAATAAAGTACTAACTCAGAAACTATGACAGCATCCAAACAACTTTCTTTAGAGTTGTGCCTAAAGAAAACTTTAGCCTTTACCTGCAGCACCATCTGGAATGGTGATTCAGTAACATTTAAAGCACAACTTTCAACAGACAGTAGACAAATAGTCATCAATTTTTAAATATTATCTCCCAGCATTTTTTAAACCAGTGGCTAAAAATGAAATTAGTGACATTAAAAGAATGAGATGGCAACTGTTAACACCTAGTCTTTAGGAAAAAAAATGTGAAATTAAATAAAATGACCTCATTCTGAACAATAATTTAATTCTGGAACACTTAACAGCATCATTTCTTTTATTTCCCACTTAGGCCATTATTCAGGCATGAATCTTGGCAGAATGGGCAAATAGAAAAGAGGTGGTTAAGGATAAATTTAGAATTATTCCCATTTAATTTTAGTAAATGATTTTTTCATATCTTACAAAGGGATATTTAAACGGGCTGGAAATACTTGATTTTTAAATGCTAAAAGGTATTACTTAAAGTCTCTGTTATCCAATATATTTTACTTCATTTTATAATATTTCAGGTTCAATTTTAGTGAATTAGTATCTCTGATAAAGTACAGTCACGTGCCGCATAATGATGTTTCGGTCAGCAATGGGCCACATATATGGCTGTGATCACATAAGATTATAATACCGTATTTTTACTGCACCTTTTCTATGTTTAGATATGTTTCTATGTTTAGATACTCAAATACTTACCATTGTGTTACAGCTGGCTGTAGTATTCAGTACAGTCACGTGCTGCATAGGTTTATAGCCTAGGAGCAATTGGCCATACCATAGAGCCAAGGTGTGCAGTAGGCTACATGATCTACCTTTGTGGAAGTTCACTCTGGAATGGTCCCATGATAACAAAACTGCCTAATGATGCATTTCCCAGAACATAACCCTGTCGTTAAGCAAGACCTGAGTGTACATTCTGTTTATAGAGTCAAAGGTGGGTCACGTGATCTACATTCCCTTTAGGCCTTTTGTCTCATTTGCATTCAGAATTGGGAAATTCTTCTCTGTCTCTATGTTCTTTTCTTAATCCTTCCTTCCTTATCCTCACAATTACCAGAGATGCACCCCTGTGCAGGGAAATGAACTAGACAAATAGTTTGGAGTCTTCAATCAGTGGAGGCACCAAAACAGCCAGGCCACGTGCTGAAGAAGTCAAAACTCTTCCTACCACTTTTTTTCAGATGGAAAAGACTACATTTCCCCATATGAGGTGGATTTATTTTCAGCTGTATTAATGTATTTACTCAAAAGAACTGCATTCCTCCCTCACTCATTAAATAACTAGTTATGAATTTTTACTGTGTGGCAAAAACATAAGGCAGTGAAAAAATCAGATAGGATCCCACCATCCTGGAGCCAGATTTACCATCTAATCAAAGTCCTGCTTCTAACTCATCTCCTTCTCTACATGTCTCCCCTCTAAGAGTCTCCTAACCCAGGCACTACTGAAACAATCAACCTTGTGCTTTCTAAGTTGATTTTTTTTAACTTGAACCAACTTTCTTAGATGATTTCCTGGCTCCATTCTGGCCTTTCTGAATTTCAAAGAGTTACATAAATAAATTTAATTAACATCCTCTTGAGTCCCTACATTCTTCTTATCACCAGAGATAGTATTATTCCTCTAGCATCAGGAATACAAGGTAATATCATCTTTAATACCACTTGGCACTCATTCTGTTGCAAAGGGAAATCTCATTCCACAATTCCCTTAAGAAGCTTCCAATTTTTATTTCATGAGAAATTATGATGAAGTATCTTACAGAGTTTTTCAAGACGAACTTCAGTTTTCATATTAACAATTTCCCTTAGAACACTGTGGCTTGTTAAAATTTTAGGTTGGTTACTTTAAAATAGACCTACTCCTGTCAAAAATGCTCTGGTGGGAGGTGAGGAATAGCACTGAAGTGAGAAAGAGTGCATTTTATAGTGACAGCTCCACAGTTCTTCAATGTTGTAGGTGAAATAATTAAATTGAGACTCAAGCCTACTCTAATCTAGGCATATTTTTATATAAGTCACTCACTAAATTATCCCAGTCCCAAAGGACCTATTCCAGGGAAATAAATGCCACCCAAGCTACAGTCTGGATGGGAAAACAAAATTTGCCACTGCATTGCTAATAAATCAAAGGTTTTATCTCTTTCTCTCTCTCTTTCATCAAGGCAGAAATATTAGAAAATGGGTCTTATGAGATAAGTACATTAAAGAGGTAACATGGGAATAAAATTGGGCCAGGAGTCAGGGTGATGGGTATCAATTTATCAACGCCAACTCTGCCACTTAGTTTTTGACCTTGGATAATTTACTTACCCTTTCTGGGCACAGAGTTCCTAATCTATAAATGTAGGTTAGCAATATCATCCTCATGGGATTGTAAAATGGGTAAAAATGAGATAAAATATATAAAGTGCATAGCATAGTGCTTGGCACATGTTTAGCTCTCAATAGGCATTTGTTTCTGTCCTCTTCTCTCTCTTCCTCCCTCCCTTCCTTGCTAGAGAATCCCATATAAGGCAAAGGAGACCCAGATTTTGGATAGGCTCCAAGAAGTTGATCACTCCAGGAGGCTTCTGTCTGTATATGAAATGGGACAAGTTCTATAGACTATGTGAATGCTGTTGCCTGTTTGGTGTGATTTGACAGCTGCCAAAACATCTGCTGTGAGACAACGGGCACTTGGCACTATGAGTAATGTTAGCTGTAGTAACTGTGCAAGATTATGCTATGGTTATCATACTATTAGTTTGTCATCATTGAATGCTTTAAACCTAGCCTGAGATTAAACCATTATTCTCTCCAGTGCTTAATTTTCTAATTTCCTCCTATTCAGCTCTCAGAAACTGCCTGTCTGGCTGCTACTTTCTCATGTTCCACACAGGCCCTCTCTCATCTTCTTGAGTTCCAAACCCTGAAACCTAGTTTCTGTAGTGGAATCTGTATCTAAACTCAGGATTTATCCACCTCCTGGACTTTGTCTTCTCATTATATTCCCATGACTTACACATATATTTCCCCAGCCTGCACCCCTTCCATAAGCATCAGCTACAGTATCCAACTGCCTACTGCTTAGATGGGTAAAATAGAACTCCTGGTTTTCTCCCCACATCTACTTCTTCGACTCAATGAATGGCACTAACATTCATTCAGTTGCTTGGATCAAATATCTAAGAGCCAGCCACGATTTTGCTCAGCCTCCTCATTTTTGCTGCCCGCTCCCCACCCCAACATCCAATCACCAAGAAGTTATGCTGGCTCCCCGTTCAAAATACAGTGCAAATGTCACATCACCCAGCACCCAGCCCAAACCATGCTCATCTCTATAATTGTCTCCTAAATGGTCTCTCTCCTCCTACTGTGATCTCTCTCCAGTCTGCTCCACATAAAAGTAGCCAAAGTGCTCTTTTACAACATGTCATGTTACTCTCCTACTTAAAGCCCTCCACTGTTTTCCCATTAAACTTCCACCCAAGCCTATAAGGCCCTTCATTATCTGGCTTCTGTCTCCCTCTCTGATGTTCTTTGCTGCTCACTCTCCTACACTCCTTATCCTCCAGTCACACTGGCCCTCTTGGGAATCATTCAATGACCCTGCCCTCTCCCTGCCCATAGCACCTCCACATTTGCCAGTCCTCTTGCCTGAAAGCAGTTCCTCAGAGCATTACGGTATCTCACTCCCTTTCTTCTGACCATCTTATCTAAAGTTACTTTCATACCCATCATATGGTGACTCTCTTTCCTTTAGCTGCTTGATTTTCTTCACATTCTGGCACTATCCAAAATGGTTTTGTGTATGTGTCAATTTATCATCTGAATCCCACACTAGAAGGGAAACTCCTTATGACAGAGATTTTCTCTCTCATCTGCCCCATCTCCTTCTTGGCATATAATTTTAGTCACCCAATGGGCTCTTTCTGCCCACTGCCCAGGCAAAACCAATTCACTGAGAATGTGGTATTTCCATAAAGAAAGAGTTTAGTTAACACAAGGTAGCCAAGACTGAAGTTATCACTCAAGTCAGTCTCCTCGAAGGCTCAGAGGTTAGGGTTTCTCAAGGATAGTTTGGTGGGCAAGGTTCTAGGGCGTGGAGAATGCTGATTGGTTGGGGATACAATCATAGGAGTGTGTAAACAGTCCTTCTGTGCCGAGTCCATCTCTGAATGGAGGCCCACAGGACCAGTTGAGACATGAGTCATGAGTCCAGGTGGGGTTAGTCAGTTACCAGAATGCAAAAGTCAGAAAAACATTGCCAAGGACCAATCTTAGCTTTTGTAACAGTGATGTTATCTATAGGAATGAATGGGGAATTCTCAAATCTTGTGACCTCTGGGCACATAACTCCTGAGTAGTAAGGGATTATAGAAACTATGCCTACAGTTAGCAGAATTCAGGCCTCTCCCATAACTCTAATCTTGTGGCCTTTCATTAGTCTTACAAAGGCAGTTTCAGCCAGTGGAACAAGGAAAGGGTCAGTTTTTGGGAGATGCTAAGACATCCTTCCTTCAAAGTTAAAATATAAACTAAATTCCTCCCACGGTTAGCTTGGCCTATGCCGAAGAATGAATGACAATAGCCAGCCTGTGAGGCTAGAAATCAGATAGAATCAGCCATGCTAGGTTTCTCTCATTATCATAATCTTTGCAAAGGCAGTTTCATAATAAGTGCTCAAAAATTGTTTCTAATTAATACATCTATTCACTTAGTTATCTGACTTCTAAAGCAAACAGTAATTTTAGTTCCTCTTTCTCTGTTTCCCTCATGTCAGCTTCATCACTAACTCTTGTTCAGTCTGTCTCCAAAGTTGTGTCTCCACTCCTGCACCCACCACTGTCTTCACTATTACCACCTAATCCAGACCCTCATCATTTCCAATCTGAACAATTACAGCAGACTTCTAACAGATTTCCTCAGCTCAGCTTTTTTCTATCCCTTGTTGCTTGTCGACTTTCTTCTTTCAATTTCTCCAGTTCATTAAGGTTCTTAGCCCTGGCCCAGAAGTACACCTAAGTCTAGAAGATTATAGAACTCTCTCTGGAACCCATGTGATATCGTGATATAATAAGAAATATATACTTTGGTCTTCATTCCTTGTCCTGGCCAGAGCTTTTAAAACCCTTATAACTTCCTAAGTGATAAGAGTTCCTAAGTGATTCGAGCCATAAAGGTAAAAGCAGTATCTTCTGTTATTCATAATATGCCTCTTCCAACCACACCGGAGTTTATGTTAATGAGATGACTTTTAGAAAGCTCCTAAGGATGAGGGCTGGTTGCCAGGGGAAGTAACCGAGGGATTAGAGGGTTAGAACTTTCAGCCTCTAAACCCTAACCTCCAGGGAGAGGAGAGGGTTGGACTGACTCAGTCACCGTCAGCCAATAATTTAATCAATCCTGAGCCTCTGGGTTGGTGAAGAGGTGGAGGTGCTGGGAGGGTGACGTGCCCAGACAGTATAGAAGCTCTGCACATACCTAGGTGTTCCCCATACCTTGCCTTGTGCATCTCTTCCATCTGGCTGTTCTTAAGCTGTACTCTTTTGTAAGAAAACAGTAATTTAATAAGGAAAGTGTTTCTCTGAGGTCTGTGAGCCATTCTTGGAACTGACTTAGGAGAGAGTTGTGAGAACCCCGATTTATACCCAGTTGGTCCGAAGCACAGGGGACAGCCCGGACTTGGGATTAGCATCTGAAGTGGGGTGGGGTGGTTTCTAATGGGACTGAGCCCTTTTAGAGGCTAAAGCAACTCTGTCTTGGATGCTAATCTGCCATGTTGACTTCTGATTAACCCCAGTTCTGGGAATACCTTTAATATTTCTACTTTCATGTACTTACCATAAGTCCCAGCCTCAGGGTGAAATAACTTTGATGTTATTATAAACAAATACTTACCGGAAATTCCGCCCTTAGGCAAATCCCCTGTGACATATAAGCCCTGGGTCTGGGGGTAACTGCATGGGGATCCACCATCTCATCCTGAGATAGTTTATGCTCGTAATTCCCTATTAAATGTTTCTTTCTGAAGAAGTGAATTTGTCAGCCTCTTCCTTTGGCCTCTCAGCTCTCTCTATCTTTGGTGGTAAGTGTGCATAGACCTGCTCACTGTGGAACAGCCCTGGACCTGTGAGATCCGACCTATTTCCAGATATAGTGTAAGAATTAACTGTAGGACACACTGTTGGTATCTATAGAAAACTGGAGCAGTGCTTTGTGTGGGGAGAAAACCTATCTGGTGTCAGAAGTGAAGTATGGAGAGCAGTAGCAGAGAAGAAACTGGAGTTCTCCTTTCTTTCTTTTTTTTTTTTTTTTTTTTTTTTTTGAGACTGAGTCTTGCTCTGTTACCCACGCTGGAGTGCAGTGGTGTGATCTCGGCTCACTGCAACCTCTGCCTCCTAGATTCAAGCAATTCTCCTGCCTTAGCCTCCTGAGTTGCTGGGACTACAGCTGTGCACCACCATGCCTGCCTAATTTTTTCATATTGTTAGTACAGATGGGGTTTCGCCATGTTGGCCAGGCTTGTCTTGAACTCCTAACCTCAAGCAATCCACCCACCTTGGCCTCTCAAAGTGTTGGGATTACAGGCGTGAGCCACTGGGCCTGGCCTAGAGTTCTCCTTTCAAGGAGACTATTTGGGTCTCAAATTCTAGTTTCCACACTTACTGGGTTTGTTTTTTTTTTTTTTCCACCATGGGAAAATCAGTTGAAATATCTGAGCCTGTTTCACATCTATATAATGGAGATAATAATACCTATCCTGTACTATTGTTATGAAGGTAAAATGAGTCATAATAAGGATATAATAAGTTTAGATATTTACAACATTTAGGGTAAGACACAGCACACAGTAAGCACTAAATACATGTTAGCTATTATTACAGCTGCTTCTATCCTCCCACCTCAGCCTCCGGAGTGTCTGGGACTACAGGTGCGTGACTCCATTTTTTTGGTAGGGACAGCATTTTACCATGTTATCCAGGCTGATGTTGACAACATGGTGAAACGCTATCTCTACCAAAAAAAAATGAGAAAATTCACTGGGCAAGCTGTTGCATGCCTGTAGTGCCAGTGACTCTGGAGGCTGAGGTGGGAGGATTACCTGGGCCTGGGGAGGTACAGGCTGCAGTGAGCCATGATCATGCCACTGCACTCCAACTTGGGTGACAGAGCAAGACCCTGTCAAAAAAAAAAAAGTTTTAAAACAAAGGAAAAGGCAAGGACTGGAGTAATTTACCTCTTAAAAAATATAGTGACTTGGGCAAGAGCCATAGAGAAGCTATGTGCACTATCTTGTTTTGTCTTCAAAGCATCTTTCCAGAGAGCTGCATGTCACCAAAGAGTCAGAGGCTTTGTGAAATTATGTTGGCAAGCAGATGGGCAAACATGGCTTCTCACATTTGTTACTTTGTCTAACATAAGCATGAGGGCTGCATCCTTGTGTGGAGCACAGAGTGGGCTTGGACAACAGCTCTCCATCATCTTCCCCAGAGCATCAGCTCAGGTCCTTGTTTGGCATGGAGCAAGCAATGCATACGTGTCTCTCAAGTAGATTGAGTGCAACGCATTTATTTGTCAACACTTTAAAAAAATGCCTGAGCTTTTATTTATTCTCTAAAAGTGTTAAGGAATTTACGAAAGTGAAACTTGCTTGATGGGTTAAAGCCAGTGGTTGGAAGCCTGCATGTCAGTCAGCTTCAGGCACAAGGGAGTCTTTGTGAACACATCTGCTATATACCAAGTGAGGACACTGATTTTAAATTTGACTCAGGATCTAGCATAAAGCTTTGAATCTTCATAATAAACAAGCCCTGGAAAGATCTCTTTAAAGCAGTGAGAATAGGGCCCTTTTGGACAGAATTGGAATTAGTGCTTCAACACCTGCCTAGCTCAAAGCATACCAGAGCTAAATATACCTTTGTGGTAAAGAGTAAAGCATGCCTTGGAAAGTTTTCATTGCTTGTAGGGTAAGTGAAACCACTTCCAGCCAAAGTAGGCCCAAGTTGCTGTCAGCCAGGAGCAAGGCAGTCTCCCACAGTGCACTCTCAGCCTTCCCAGTTAAAGAGTTTTTTATCTTTACTCTTACTTAAAGTGAGCAAAGAAAGATCCTCTATCCTCCTTATCTCTTGAAGAGATCCAAAATGTGATTAAATATTAATGTTTGTTTTGCTTGGGGAGAGGTATTTTCCACCTCAAAGAGTAGAAGGTAACATTTCTTAGGCTCTTCAAGTATCAATCACACTTACATGTAGAGTGCAGAGTGGCTGAAAGCCCAGATTCTGCAGTTAGATGCCCAGACTCAAGAGCTCTGCCACCTAATACCTTTGTGACTCCACTTATATTATCTTCCACTTTATTAACCTCTGTTAATGTATTAGTATATTTTCACACTGCTGATAAAGACATATCCAAGACTGGGTAATTTATAAAGAAAAAGAGGTTTAATAGACTTATAGTTCCACATGGCAGGGAGACCTCACAATTATGGCAGAAGGCAAAAGGCGTATCTTACATGGTGGCAGGCAAGAGAGAATGAGAGCCAAGCGAAAGGGGTTTTCCCTTATAAAACCATCAGATCTCGTGAGACTTATTTACTACCATGAGAACAGTATGGGGGAAACTACCCTCCCATGATTCAATTATCTCCCATCAGGTCCCTCCCACAACACATGGGAATTATGGGAGCTACAATTCAAGATGAGATTTGGGTGGGGACACAGCCACACCATATCAGTTAACCTCTCTCATGAACTATTATATCTACAATGTGCACTTACAGTTTCATGCTCTGCCTCATCTATTCCCCACATCAACCCTCACTTAAGGCTTACAACCAACCCTCTGACCCTGATGCAATTAATATTCCCATTTTACAGTTGAAGAAATGAGGCTTGGGGAGATTATGTTATTTGCCCAGGGTGATGGCGCTTTTAAGTGGTAAAAGTGGAATAAATCCCAGGTCGGTCTGACATAATCCATATTATGTATGGTGGCCATTCTTCAAAGGTGTGCTAGAGAGCCCAACAGGGTTTCTGGGAGACTGGACTGTCAACAAAGATAATTAGACTACAGATAACAAAAGGAAAGTCAACAAACGTAAAGTCAATTGAAGTCATTGTACTTTATTAGCTTGGGGAGAAAATAACCCAACCAAAGTCTTGACATCTATCAGCCTGCAAAACAGAGTCAACCTGAAAGAGTCAGATCACACACTGCTATAAGGATATAAGACATAGTCCCTATTCTTGCGTAAATGATAATCTAGTTGAACAGATTAAATATTGAATTCATAAATGCGAATTGATATATTGCAAGTCCCCCGTATCATCACCAATGGGATGCATAATGCATGAGGAGCCTACCATAATCAGGCAAGACTCTTAGAGAAACTGATGAGCATGTGGTCTTCAAAAAATTAAATTGAAATGTATGGTTCAGATGTTAAATGCTGTAGGAGTTTGGGGGAGATAAATGACATTATTGTAGAGCTAGGATTTGAACTGAGTCTTGAAAGAAGGAGATTTGGATAGATGAACAAGAGATTGATTGGTATTCCAGGAAAAGGAAACCCATAATTGCAGCCATGGGAGCAGGAAGAAGTGTAATGTGTCTGAAACACTAAGGAGAGAAAAGAGGTTAAAAAGCCTATTTAAAAACATACATTGTTGTCAATGTGATTAGTTTAAAGAGAATGTTAATAAATAATCAGTTATTAGTTAGCTGTAAAGTAGAGCTGTGTTGGTATTAGTGTTTCCATTCAAAAAATAAGGTGAGAGTTGACGTAACATCTACAAGGGTATGCATCAAATTAGTGTTGCACTAGCATTAAAAACTGATTAGCTCTTTCATTGTCATTACACAACACATTCCTGGAAGTACATAATATAGAGCAGAATTAGACTCTTCAAATCAGGAAAAGGATGAAATAAACATTGCAGAGTTAAATGTAACTAACTCTAGTACGTCAAACAGAATAGCACCTAATACAACCAGGATGTTACCATAGGGCTCTCTATCTTATAGGGTATCTGTATCTATCTAAATATTTATCTCTATATTTCTCTATTTGTATTTATATATAAACTATCTATCTTTAAGAATCATCTCTTAGTGTTCTTTTTGAAAGTTTATTCCTTTTATCTAAAAAGTAAGCTTTGTGTAAAAAAATTCGTAGACCAGAACAAATTTGACATTAAATCACTGCCATCCATTTTCAGTATTTTTCTCTCCACCTTCTTAAATTTTTAACTTGAGCTACATGCTAGTCTAGAATCTTTGAAGATTTATTTTTAAAAAATACTCTTCATAAGCCAATTAAGATGATGGAATTTTGAAAACATTTATCTCCCACTCATATAAACCCACACAATAGAAAAAAACGAAGTTTTATTACTTATATGGAAAGATTCTGACATAAGGTGGAAAGTTTACACAGATATCTGGTTTTTTTTTTTGAGACAGAGTCTCGCTCTGTGGCCCAGGCTGGAGTGCAGTGGCGCGATCTCGGCTCACTGCAAGCTCCGCCTCCCGGGTTCACGCCATTCTCCTGCCGCAGCTTCCCGAGTAGCTGGGACTACAGGCGCCCGCCACCACGCCCAGCTAATTTTTTTTCGTATTTTTAGTGGAGATGGGGTTTCACCGTGTTAGCCAGGATGGTCTCGATCTCCTGACCTCGTGATCCGCCCATCTCGGCCTCCCAAAATGCTTGGATTACAGGCGTGAGCCACCGTGCATGGCCACAGATACCTTTTTTTTTTTTTTTTAAACTTTCCTCAGTTTCAGAATATAAATGATCTGTACATCATGGTTCATGCTGAAAGTTGAAATTCAGCTTAACAATTCACCATTTTCAAAGCACAGCTCATATGTAGGTTCTGTTTTCATTATGTATTTGTAGTAGATTGAGGTTGGGACTGAGAAGCTGTTGATTATAAGAAAGAGGTAAGGCTAGAATTCTATAATATTAATGGTGACAAAGCACTTATTGGTTTTTGGTGAGTTATAATGTGTGAGACTCTGTGCTAGTGCTTTATACACATTATTTTATTTTCACAAGATCCCTGTGTGATAGGATTTTATTTTTTTCTGACATTTTATATCAGGGAAACAGCCTTAGAGAGGGTCAGCAACGTGCCCAAGATCCTACATGATATTAAGTGGTAGAATTGTTACCTGGTGTAATGCCTACGTGACTTAGCTGAATTTCTACCTTGCCCTAACTCTGCTTATCTTTAAGAAATAGGACAACTGTGGTAGGATGTTCCCTTTGTAACCAGACCAGGAGAGACTGGTTAGAAGCAAGATGGCTGACCCAACAATTTTAAAAAGACCTTAGACTTTGTTATGATTTCATTTCCATGCTAAATAACATTCGCACCAGCACCATGACAGTTCACAATTGCCATAATAATGACTGGAAGAAGTCATAACAAGACAAAAAGAAAGATGACACTGGTTCTGAGAACTTCACTGCCCATTTTCAGAAAAGACATAGACATTCCTCCTTTTGCTGTTAATGTCCAACTTCTTTGTTAGAGAAACCTTACATTTTAACCCTCTCACCTTTGCTGGTTGAGAAGTTGATCTGTGAGCCACGCTTCCACTTCTCAATTCCATGGCCATCAAATAAAGCCTGCACTGCTTGATACTCACTTGAGGTTTTGTGTATTGGCTTCATGACACCAGACAGGAAAGAATACTACCTTTGGGGAAAAGGTGACTCAGGCAGTGACAGAACAAGGAATCCACCATGAATGCCTCTAAAATGTAAAAATGTAAGACACACACTGTGTTTAAGGGCTGCACACCTTCTAATTGGTAGACCACCCCCAAACCTCTTGACTATAAAATAATATCAATGGTTACATAAGATACATTGGCTTCTCTTTAAAAATATATCCTTGTTGTCAGAAAAGGGAAATAGGTAAGATGTTTGTTTCTAATATAAATCGAAGGACCTGGGCCATGCTTGAAAAAACTGGAAGAAGTTCTGGAAGTGAGGTGGGTGTTGAGTAGATTTAATAACTCTGAGAGCAAACAGAATAATCCCTACAAATGTCCAGTCCAGCATCCAAGTGAAAGAACTACAGGCCTGAAGGGATGGAGTTCTAAAAAATAGAGCTGAAAAGAAAGCTCAAATGCACACAAGCAGAAGAAGGCAGGGCCAGGACTTCATGCACTGAAGTTGCATAAAGTGGCACAGAGAACAGGTAAGAGGCAAGGATATATGATGCATTCAGAAGTGAAATTTAAAATGATGGAGAAGCAAGGCAGTTACTGACGTCTGCAGCCTGCTGCAAGGCAGGGCTTGAGCTGATTAGCTTGGGCCTGCCTGGTTTTCCTCCAGGAAGTTGGTTTGCTGATGTGGGAGACCAATGGAAGCAGTTGAGTGGAATGAAGTAGGTTAGGATAGTTGTGAGCGCCAAGAGCCATAGAGGCAACCAGAGCTTCCAATCCCAATTCTGCCTCTGATAGACTATGCCACATTGAATTTTCCATTTCCTCGTCTGTAGAAATTGCCAGGATAATATTATATAATAATAATAGGGTTGTATGTGGATTAAATGGCATATTTCGTGTAAATAACCTTTTTCATGTAGTATGATGTATATTAAGTCTTTATGAAAAACTATTAATACAGAAACATCTGGAGTTTCTATTTGAGAAGGCCATCGTAACTGTAGGGTTATAGTTCTGGCTGGTAATAGTTTATCTAAAAATATAATTTTATCTGAGCAAGAAGAAAAGGAGAGGGAGAGTAAAGCAGAAAAGAAAAAAGGGGCCAGGCACAGTGGCTCATGCCTGTAATCCCAGCACTTTCGGAGGCTTAAGTGGGAAGACGGCTTGAGGCCAGAAGTTCGAGACCAGCCTGGGCAACATAGTATGACCCCCCCCCATCTCTACAAAAAAATTGATAATAAAAAATTAGCCAGGAGCAGTGGTTCACACCTGTAATCCTAGCTTTTTGGGAGGTGGAAGCAGGAGAATCACTTGAGCCCAGGAGTTCAGAGCTGCAGTGAGCTATGATTGCACTACTGCACACCAGCCTGGGCAATAGAGCAAAACAGTTTCTCTTAAAGAAGAAAAAAGCCTGCAATTAATACGACAATATCTATTTCTCTCAATACTGCTAAAATCTCTCTAACCCAGACTTTCTTGCAGAAGCATCTAAGTGCTTGGCAGGACAGCAACGTCTACGTAGAGTAATACAGTAATGCAGCACAGTAAGGGATACTGAGTCTCTAATCACATCCGTCTCCTTCCACTGTATATTTGTCCATTTTTACACTGCTATAAAGAATACAACCAGAGACTGGGTAATTTACAAAGGAAAGAGGTTTAATTGACTCACAGTTCCACATGGCTGAGGAGGCCTCAGGAAACTTACAATCATGGTGGGAGGAGAAGGAGGTACGCCTTACATGGCAGCAGGCAAGGGAGACCATGTGAAGGAGGAACTGTTAAACACTTATAAAACCATCAGATCTCTTGAGAACTCACTCACTATTATGAGAACAGCATGGGGGAAATCACTCTTATGATCTAATCACCTCCCATCACATCCCTCCATCAACACGTGGGGATTACAATTCGAGATGAGACTTGGGTGGGGACACAGAGCCAAACCATATCACACTGCATCCTGCAGAAGCAATCATGTGAATTTGCATTAAACATAATCACAAACATTACTCCAGACTTGCAAAACTGTTGATGCTACTGCCATAAAAGCATACCCAGAGTCCTGCTCCCAGGCACTTAGGTCCCAGATAAGCTGTCGATTTGAGGTAGGAGCTCAAAGAGTAGGCCACTTGGCTTTGGCTTTTATCCCTTTTGACTCTTCACAGACTGTCTCTTTATTCCTGAACGAGCCCTGGCCTGATGCCTTAGTCTCTTTCCTAGCCTGAACCTCAATGGCAGCCCTGATGTGTAGCTCGCCTGACACTTCCAGCCCCAAGCGTCACTGTTGCTAGTTTCTGCTGCTGATGGTGGTTGCTGCTGTCCTGGCAAACACAGCCCCTCTAGGAGAAGCAGCACAAGGGTGAGAAGCAAGCAGTCTGGAAAAAAAACCCCAATGTATTGTTTCCATCAGATCACTCCTAGGCAGCTCTAAACAACTATTGTTCTATCTTACTGTTTTTTCTTCCATGTTGAGGCTTTTCTGTTCTAATGGCTCAATACTATGGAAAAGAGAAATTGCCAGAAATACTCTAGTTGAACTAATATTTACTTTGTGTTCATCACTGTGAGTCAGAGCAGGGACCTCTCTTCGGGGACTGTCCACCCACCCCACCCCCAACCTCTGCACGCATGGAAATAAGGGAAAATCTTGAGTTCTTTCAAGGGAAATTCCAGGCACCTAGCTAGCATTGAGAGGTAAATGAGCAACTTGATATGGAAGAAGGTACTAGTAGGTTGAAACAATAGCAAAGAAAGTTAAAGTCATGAGATGTTTCATTCCTTATAGAAACTAAAGATAACATCTTAATATATGTCCCTGAATTTTTCAGAAACCCAGACCCCCACCAAACAGATCCACTGGCACGTAGACCTCAGATAAGGGGGAACTGAGGACTGAACTCTGACTGTCTTTTTTGCTCTAAATTTCTTCCTCAGGGGCCCGGAGGAAGTCACACCCATGGGCCAGAGGTAACAGTCTTTTCTGCTGACCCCAAATTTTAAACACAGCTTCTCTTCCTTAACCAGTTTCAAATCAGAAAATCTATGCATCTACCTACGACCTGTAAGCTTCTGCCTCAAGACACACCTCTTTAGGTCAAACCAGTGTATAACCTTCATGTACTGATTTACAATTTTGCCTGTAACTTCTGCTTTTCTGAATTTTACTCCTGCCTTTAAAAACCCTTACTTGCAAGGCATGGGGGAGGTCAGGTCTTAAGCATGAGCTTCCCAATTTTTCTTGCTTGGTGCCCTGAAAATAAATGCCTTCCTTTCTCCTGCTGCAAACCACACTGCGGATGTTTGGCCTCACTGTGCTGTGCAAGTGGTCCCCAGTTGGATTTGGTAACAGTTGATCAAAACACCTCATTTACTCACTCCCCCTCACAATAAATCTGTGCATTAAAGATGTGAAGACTTACTCAAGGTCTCAGAGCTAGTTGGTGGGGGAGTGTAGATTGTACTTTATCTCTTTTCTGTTTCTTCTGGTAATCTGGTTCCTCATATTACCAGCTAACATCTTCTCTACATAAACAGTTTTTTAGAATCCATGCTCTCACAAAAGGCATGTGTATGTGTTCCATGTCCCAACTTGGAAATGGCCATTGTTTGAAAACACAAAGCCAGTTTTTTCTTCAGCTAGAGTTTGGGTTGTCTGGGAACTCTGTGACAGAGTCTCAGATATAAACACTGTTTATGTTTATTTAAAGCTCCAGAAAGAAATAGAAATAGAAAATTATTTCATTCTATTCTCGGCATAAATGACCTAAGGGACCAACTCTCTAGGACCTAAAGCTGTCAAAAAATGAAACTGAATGCCTTTTCTTCTTGCAGCAAAAACTCTTTAAGATGGTATGTGGAGGAGATGCTATAGTCAGCAATGATATTGTTTCACAGGGTTCCACTAAAGTCAATAGGCTTTTATCCCCAGACTATCTTAGCCAAAGATGTAACATTCTTTTTGAGACAAAGCCTCAGAAACTTGACTTGAGTGCTTGCCTGTAGCTGCTCATTCCTGACTATAAAGCAACTTTTCTGCAAAAGCAGGAAGGAAATAGGCCAGTAAGCTTAAACCATGGCACCTTCAGCAAAGTGTCACAGGAAATTTATAATCCCTGAATATGAATTTATTAGTGGAAAACCAGAAGTAAGAACATTGTAAGCTCTATCACTATACTCTGTGTAATATACATTCTCTTAGTATTTAAATGTGCTTTTTGCAATCTGTATTTGTAAATTTACATTATACCAGTTCGCATTTGATTACAGACTATATTACTGTACTGTCTGTTTTCTTCTTTGAGGATATTTATGACTTTTCTTTCATGGGTTGCTCCTCATAGTGTTGGGCACTAAGGGCTCTTAATCAGTAAGTGTGATTCACAGCCTGAAGATTTTGATCTTTACTTCCTCAAATCCCATAAATTAAGACAGGTATCTGTTTCTGACCATAGAAGTTTGCTGTCTCTGTCTCCAATTCTTAGCCAAATAGACTACTAAATAACTACATTTTGCTTTAAATGAGACATGCTATTGAACCAGGGCTTCCCACCACTAACCTGAAGTTCATGTATTTCAGTCAGGCCTGCAATTGCTAGCAAATACTGTTTATATGTACTTACATGCAGCTTTTTCGGGATCCTTACATTTCATCAAGTCTCAAAAGGTTTTAGGTAGAAGATTAACAATACTCTGTGAGCCTTAGAACATCCTTTAAAGTTTTCTTAAATCAAAAAATTATATATATTACTATTATACATATATATGATATATATTATATATATCCATGAATATGATATATATGAATATATATGTGTGTGTGTGTGTGTGTGTGTGTGTGTGTGTGTGTGTGTGTGTGTCACCCAGGCTGAAGTGCAGTGGCATGATCATGGCTCACTGCAGCCTCAAACTCCTGGGCTCAAACGATTCTTCCAGCTGGGCTTCCTGAGTAGCTGGGACTACAGGTGCATACCACCAGGCCAGCTACTTTTAAATTTTTTTATAGAGACAAGGTCTTGCTATGTTGCCCAGGCTGGTCTTGAACTCCTGGCCACAAGTGATCCTCCCGTGTTGGCCTCTCAAAGTGTTGAAATTATAGGCATGAGCTCCTGTGCCCAGCCTTTATCAATCAATCTTTATACTGTTTCTTCTGCCCTCTGATTTGTGATATCCTATATTGCAGCAGTTTTATAACTCATGGTCCATTTTCCAAGGTTGTCCTGGACAATAGAGTACTCAAGGAGCAAACATTGCTCAATGTCAGCAAATAATCTTCATTCTAGTCTTCTTATTTCACTTAAGAATGAGGCCGGGCACGGTGGTTCAAGCCTGTAATCCCAGCACTTTGGGAGGCCGAGGAGGGCGGATCACGTGGTCAGGAGATCGAGACCATCCTGGCTAACACGGTGAAACCCCGTCTCTACTAAAAAAAAAATACAAAAAAATTAGCCGGGCATGGTGGTGGGCACCTGTAGTCCCAGCTACTCGGGAGGCTGAGGCAGGAGAATGGCGTGAACCCGGGAGGCGGAGCTTGCAGTGAGCTGAGATCGCGCTACTGCACTCCAGCCTGGGCGACAGAGCGAGACTCCGTCTCAAAAATAAAAATAAAAATAAAAAAAAAGAATGACTGATCACCATTTCTGAAAAAGTAGATGTTCTAAATTTCACTTACACAGAAAACGGTACCCAGTCATCACCTCTAAAAACATAGGGCTTGTTTTAATCATAAGTCTACCTTTTCCAAATATTAGGATTCTTAATAGCCATAACCTCCCTAGGTCATTAGGCTAACAAAACTCAATAAGGTTCATGGAATCTTGATATTTTACTAGTGATGTTGCTAGTATGCTAAGATGAAAAAAGTAAGCTTTCCACCATCATGGTTGCAGAAGAGCCTCTCTCCACAAGTAAACAACTGGCACAGTGATTTCCAGTTGTGCATATTGCTCACAGCTTGGTAAGACTTCTAAGAACATTTATAAAGGAGCCAAAGAAAGGAACCTACATATATGATCTTTGCTTCCTACTTGGAGAATTGTGCCTCAGAGGTCTTATCCTGGAATTTCTAAAATTCCCAGAGCTGATCAACTTATTTAAATCTTCCTTCAGGATCAAGTCTCCCAAAATCTGGATGCTAGATATATCACTCTGATGGTTGTGTCTTCCATGAGGATAAGTAGGAATATCTAGTTCTGTACCATCCAATATGGTAGCCATTGGCTACATGTGGCTACTGGGCACTTGAACGTGGCTAGTTTGAATTGAGGTGTGCTGTGAGTCTAGAAATCATACCAGATTTGGAAGATCATGGGAAAAGAATGTAAAAAAAATATTTAAAAGCTTTATGTTAATTACATGTTGGAATTATAATCTTTTGGATATACTGAGTTAAATAAATTACATTATTAAGATTAATTTCACCTGTTTCTTTTACCCTTTGTTTATGTGACTAATAGCAAATTTAAAAATACATACGTGACTCAAGTCGTATTTCTGTTAGACAGTACTGACTACACTATTGTAGATTCTACATAGCAAAATGGCAAAGGTAGGCACTTCAGGTTCTCTCTGTAAACTATGCCTCAATCTAAGCACAGAAAGAAAACTAAAAGCATGCTGGGATATAAGGGAAATTCAAGATGCCACCAAGAATGCAGAATGTTAGAAAGCAAAATAAAAGAGGAATATAAACCAAACTAATAAAATGCAATAGAGAAAAAGAAACCCCATCCCAAGCCCCTAGCTACATGTAATAAATGCAACTACGTAAGTTCTAGAAGAAAACATGGATGAATTTTTTATATAACCTGAGAGTAACGTAAAGTTTTCTAATTATAACAAAAGATACAAATAAAAAAAGAAATGATTGATAAATTGCTTATATAAACATGTTTAAATACTTTGGCACAAAACAAAAAAAATAAGCACAGTTGAAAGACAAATGACACACTGGAATAAAGTGTTTGCAACATATATGACCAACAAACGTCTAATATCCCTAAAATACAAATAATGACATTTAAAATTAAGAGAATACAGAAGATACTTTTTAAAATTTTGGGGATACAACATTTATTATATTTTATTTAACTTTTAAGTTCAAGGGTACAAGTGCAGGTTTAAGACACTTTCTATAGAAAAATGGAAAACAGACTAGAAAAAATGTTCAAATTATTTTATAGTATGATAAATGGAAATTAAAATTACACAGAGGTATCATTCTTCACTAATAGGCAAAAACTCAAAATCATAACAATATCCTCTGTTGTCAAAAGGTAGAGAACCAAGCACTTGATGGGTTGCTGAACGGAGCTGCAGAACAAAACTTCCTTTGTGGAGGGGAACTGGTCCATATGTGACAAAGGTGCTTTCACATTCAGCCTTGGACACTTATTTATTTTGGTGCTCAAATTGTTCCTGATTTGACCAGTTGGAACTCATTCAAACTTGCTCCGGTGTCTTTTTGTCATGCTCCTATCACTTTTGGAGCACTTTCTTACTTTCTATCACAAGATATTCAGGTTACCTCATATCTTTCCTGTTTCAGGCCCAAAGTTAGGCATTTCCCCAAGGAGACCTTGTTATTCCTCTAAGAATTTGCACTGAAAATATACCTTCAACAACACAAAATACATATGAAGAAGGCCATTCATTACAGAAGTATTTGTAATTTTAAAATACTGGAAACTACCGAAGTTAACAAACAGAAGAATTGTAAAACTATATAGCTGTAAAAAAAAAAGAGTAAGAAATATCTCCATGAAATGATGAGTGATTTCCAGGATACACAGGATATCATTAAAGGGAAAACAACAGAGATATCTGTGAAATGGGAAGGGCTATAGATCTTGGACAAAGAGATGGTTATCTCAGCTGAAAGCTAGTTGATATATCAAAGACCAGATCCACCTGCTTTCCCATCCTGCCACAGCCATCACAACCTAACCTAGGGCCAGGTACACCTATAATCCCAGCACTTTGGGAGGCTGAGCCAGAAGGGTTACTTGAGGCCAGGAGTTTGAGAACAGCCTAATCTCATGGCAAAACCCCATCCCTACAAAAATTTTAAAAAGCAACGAGGCACAGTAGTGTGCTCCTGTAGTTCCAACTACTTGGGAGGCTGAGATGGGAGGATCGCTTGAGCCAAGGAAGTTGAGACTTTGGTGAGCCATGAAAGGGCCACTGCACTCCAGCCTGGGTAACAAAGTGGGATCCTGACTCAAAACAAAAACAAAAACACAAAAAACAAAAACAAACCTTAACCTTAGCCATAGGAGGCTGAAGCAGTAGGCTCGCTTGAGCCCAGGGGCTCAAGTCCAGCCTGGAAAACAGAAAAAAACCCTCTCTAAAAAAAAATAATAATAAATTAAAAAAAAAAAAAGAAAGGAAGAAAAAGAAAACCACCTATCCCGCACCTGACAAAATAGAAAACATAAGTCCCCTGAAGCTTAACTTTGAACCCAAATCTATTGAGATTAAAGTCAGTCATCTTGGCAGAATGGGGTCTTAAAATAAAAACTAAGTTGAATATTCATGTTAATAATTTGAATGTTAAAATAAAATTGTCTAAGAGAATTTCTGAGTTTGTCGACCTGATAGAATGTATTATTTACATTTAATAAGTAGTATCTCCCTCTGAACTTGACTCTCTGAAAACATATTTTAATAGCTTGAATGATTTTACCTAGGATATGCACAGCATTAAAGAGTTTCTCCCTTCCAAGGGGGAATATGTCTGCTGAAAAAAATTGGAATATATCAAAACACATCCATCCTGAAAACAACCCAAAAGCAATTAAGTTCACCTTTAACTTTCGCTCATTTGATGCATGAAAGAACTGCAAGAAAAGTTCCATGGCCAGCAAAGCCCCACTAGCTGGACCTCTCATTTCCACAATCCAATAGCGCCATATGCTTCCTCCTGTGAATGGAATTTTTATTTTCTCTGCCTCTTAAAATGACCTGGAAGCCAAAAAATTTCCTATGAGATGATGTAAGACAATCACTCTGCCTGGATCATGCAGTAATTACACCTTGCTATTCTCAGCTTCTCTGCCTGCTCTTCTCTTCACTCAAAAAGTGCAGTGCTTGACAGATGCAAAGCAGTTATGCCTCCCTGCTTGCCTCCCTCCAGCGAAGCTCCTGGGAGGACACCCTGTGAGGACACCCTTCAAGTGACTGAATGTCCTCTCCGAAGACAAGGGCTTCCTCAGCAGCCAGTGAGCTTGCTGTCACACCCTGGATTACAAAGTATGAATCCTCTATTCTCTGAAAAGTTAATGCTTCTGAACTACCACCCTGATCATAATAATATAACTTTTTAAAAAGTGTTTTACAGTTCAGTAAATCACTTTTATATGTCATCTCATTTCTCCTCACAGTTTAGTGTCCTCATGAGAAAATAAATTGACTAAAACCAATGGCAGGTAACTAGTAAAGGGACACTCAAAGCTTAACCTTCCTGTGTCCTGCCTGGTGTTACTCCACCACAACATAAATGTAAGCACGTGGTGTGACGGTTAATTTCATATGCCAATTTTGACTGGCCATGGGGTGATTAGATGTTTGGTGTTTAGATGCTAGGTGAGTAGATGCTAGGTGTTTCTGTGAGGCTGTTTTTGGATGAGATAAACATTTCCATCAACAGACTGAGTAAAGCACATGTGGATGGGCTTCATCCAAACAGGTGAAGGCCTGAATAGAACTAAAAGACTGACTCTCCCTCAGATAAGGGGGGACTCCACCTACCTCAATACTGGGACATCATTTTTTTTCTGTCTTCCTACTTGAGCTGAGACATCAGCTTTTCCTGGGTCTCAGGCCTGCCAGCCTTTGGGCTAGAATTTACACTATGAGCTCTCTTGCTTCTCAGGCCTTTGGATTTGAACTGGAAAAGTATCATTGGCTTTCCTGGGTCTCCAGCTTGCTAACTCACTCTACAGATCTTGGGACTTATCAGCCCCCATAATCACATGAGGCTCTTCCTTATAATAAATCTCTTTCTCTTTATATGTGTGTTTATACACACATACACATACGTATATATATATACACATACATACATACGTATATATACACACACATATATACACACACACATATATATATATAAAATTGTGAGTGTGTGTGTGTGTGTGTGTGTGTATAACTGGTTTTGTTTCCCTGGAGATCCCTGACTAATACACATGGGACATAGTTTGGAAAGCTGTAACCAAATAGGTTTCCCTTCTTTGGATGCTGTAGCTCCTTATCCATGGCCTACCCTATTTCTGTGCCTCGTGGGGAACTGCTAGCCCACTGTCTCTAGCTGATGGAGGGCGGCCACTGTGCCTTGTCAGTGTTCATGAAGCCTATGCTCCACCTAGAGTCAACTGCTAACCTTACCTTCAGGTAGGAAAGATTCCAACATGCCCGGCTTTGGCTTCTAATTTCTTGAATTACGCATTTGTATTAGCCTACAGAACTCACATCATCTTATAAACTTATTTGTTTTGTTTGTTTGTTTTTGCGTGTGTTTTTCTTTTTCCTGAGATGGAATCTCACTTTATCACCCAGGCTGGAGTACAGTGGCACGATCTCAGCTCACTGCAACCTCTGCCTCCCGGGTTCAAGTGATTCTCCTGCCTCAGCCTCCCGAGTAGCTGGGATTACAGGCACGCACCACCATGCCTGGTTAATTTTTGTATTTTTAGTAGAGACAGGCTATCGCTATGTTGGCCAGGCTGTTCTCAAACTCCCGACCTCAGGTAATCCTCCCACCTCAGCCTTCCAAAGTGCTGGGATTACAGGTGTGAGTCACTGTAATCCTGGCCATTATTTGTTCTTACATTTTAGTTGTCCCTTCATAACAGCAAACACCAAAACATCATATAATGGTGAAAAAATACAGAGCTTGAGAAACCTAGTTTTAACATCAACTTCCCTCACTTACCCTCACTTACCAGTTATTTGAACGTGGTAAACTGCCTCTAGTTGAGCTTCAATTTCGTCCCATGTGTAATAGTGTTAAGTATGTCTCCTTTGCAGAATTGTTTTGAAAATTAAATGGAAACAACTAAGGTAAAAAGCTTGGAATACAAAAGAAACCAAATGAACACTGGTTCCTTTCCTTTCTCCATAGTAGTTTTGAGCAAGTTTCAGGTAAGTTGCTTGCTTTGGAGACATTTAATAGCTATAACTATTTTTAAATTAAACTTTAACAGCACGTTGAGTTTGAAAATTGAAAAACAGAAAAGTTGACTAATAGGTTATTTTTGTCAGTGTTACCGTTTCATGTTACACTACTCTTGTGTCTTAAAGGCAAATTAGAAAGAACAACTTACAGTTTGTTTTTATCTTATGCCCTACTTATCATTAAGAGTTCTTTTGTTTATTGTTGTAACTTGATACAGATTTCAGTGGTAACCAAGTTCAGTGAGTATTGTTTTTCATTTTCTTGGTGTATAAAACAATATGCTCTGTCTGTATTGTTAAAGTTAAAATTAATTCTCATCATTTACTTCCACTTCTGAGACCTTGGCTAGAATCAGGGTGAAAATATTCCTTTTTTATGAAGAGATTACAGTTTATAGGAGACATATATAGAAAGAGTTCATAAAATTAAAAAAAAATCTGTGAGACAGGAATTGTAGTTGGTAGTTTTTGTGGTAGGGAAGTCATAGTCAGGAACATATGGCCATACCCACAAATACTGAAGGATTTTTTTCCTTTCTCATTCAACGGGATATAACTATATTCATCAAAAAAATGTTAGTGATGCTTTGTTATTTTAAATCAGTATTATTTGATCAATACACACAGTTACTTCCATTTTCCATTGCTTTCTCAATAAAATGTCTCAGGATCTCCTTGCCACCAGAGAGATGCATGTGGAGGGGCGCTCAGAGAACGTACTTGATTATTTCTGAAGCCTTGCCAGCTAGAAGGAAATGAGTTATTCTTCAATTGCCAACATTTGCTTCCAGGAGTATAAAGGTGAAAACTGGATTTTTCAGGGTTGAGTATAGATACTTTCTGTTCTGAGAAGGATTCCTTGACAGAGCTGTCCTGGCCACTGAGAAGTAAGTCAAGTGTGGGATCACTGTCCATGGAGGAGCCCCAGGCACTTGTGAATGAGTCCAAATGCAAATGTTTCAACTAATTAATGATGAAAATTATGCAAATAACCCATTAATGGCTTGAATAGATTTCTGCAGAAAATATATTTGTATGTTAAGGTATTTTTCCACCCATTTCTATTTATGAGGACCAGAAAGAGAGAAGGAAACGAGGAATTAAAAGAGAAGGATCTCTCTGAGTAGTAACAGATCCCAGCAACTTGGTGACAGAGAGGAGTAGGAAGCATGGCCTTTGGACTTTAGGGATGTCTGTGTCCAACAGAACAATTCCTCATCAATTAGGTCATGAATCCTCTAATGCTATTCTTAAATTCCATTCAGTCTGCCTTGACATGGCTGATGTGGAATAAAGAAAAAGGACCTCTGTTTGCCTGCCAGAAGTAGAGACCAGGGTAAAGTGACTCAATGAATAGTAGCTTACTCTTTCATGTAAAAACAAGAGTGGTAGGCAGTAAGGCATTGTTAGCACAAATCTACCAGGCCATTAGGGACAAAGGTTGTTTCTATCTTTCTGTTCTGCCATGCTCAGTCCTTGGCTTCCGCCCTCACATTTGTCCCATAGTCACAGGATGGCTGCTGGCATTCTAGACATCAAGTATGCATCCTAAGTAAGAAGAGGAAAAGCAATTAGCAAAAAGAGAAGCCTCCCAAGAAAGTTAATTGCCTTTTATATATTTCCCCACCATCCCCACTCAAGGAATTCTACTTATATTTCAGTGACCACCCTAGCTACCAGGTGTGGGCTGGGAGAGCTAAGAAATATATTGTTTTCCCAAATCAGTCTTCTGTTAAAAAGGAAGAATGGAGGCTGGATATTGGGTATGCAACAGTTTCTTCCTAGCTTGTGCAGCTTCCTCCGAGCATGAAGGAATAAAGATAGAAGCTCAAGATAGTCTCAGAGCTCAGGGAGCAAATAGGACAGGGTATTTCCCATGAAGCCAGCAAGACCTCAGACTTCTCCAAGCCTATGAAGCTGAAAGCAGAAGAAACATTTAGAATGGGATGACCAGGCAAGTATTCCTTTTTCACAGTCCAGAGCAGCAAAGAAGCTCAGAGTTTCCTACGTGAGTGAGGGCAGATTAGCTGCAAGTTCTGAATGCCTCCTGCCCCCTGCCGACTATTTCCCCATAGGACCAAGGTTACTGTCCTCAGTGATTTTGCACCAACTCTAGTCTTGGACTGAGTTTAATCTGCGGTTCAGAAAATGCCCCATATGAGCAGTTTTGGAAATTATTCAACACATGACATGAACTCAATCTCTGTCACGTATTCAGGTGTTCAACAAATATAACTTCCCTCCCTTTTTTAAATTACAAACTCCATTCTATCAGAGTGGATACAGTTAATTGCAATCAATATGTGTATTCTCTTTGCCTCAAGTTAGCCTCTAAGATCCAACAGGAAGATATGCAAGCACAGGAGTATTTACAATAAAACATGCCCTTTAATCAGGACAATTTAAAAATGCTAAGTAAAGACAAGGGAAGAGTGCCTGATCCATCTTTAGAAGGTCAGGAAAGATCACAGTGGCCATTAGTTTTAATTTTATACTAATCTCCAGTATTCCTTTCACCTATAACTATCTGAATCTATGATCTCACAACCCCCAATGTACAAACATTTTAGTCTAAATTCTAGAAATTTAGACCAAATTATTTTTTCTTTCTTTAGCTGAACAATTTTTCACGGTTGGGTTGCATTACTTAAGAAAAAGGTTACTCTACACATGGACACAGGGAGGGGAACAACACACACACGCCGGAGGCTGTCAGGGGGTGAGGGACAAGGGGAGAGGGAGCATTAGGACAAATACCTAATGCATGCAGGGCTTCAAACCTAGGTGACGGGTTGACGGGTGCAGCAAACCACCATGGCACATGTATACCTGTGTAACAAACCTGTACATTCTGCACATGTATCCCAGAACTTAAAGTAAAATAAAGTAAAATAAAGAAAAAGGTTACTCTAAATGTGTCCTATGGCAGTGTCACCAGGTTCTGATTGATATCTTGCAGATAAGCTTTGGCTTGCAGGGTGGTTTTTACAAGCACAGCTCCAATAATGTCTTATGCTTATTTAGTGCTTTTTCTGGTTTTGACATCGCTGATCACACTCTGTTCACACAAAAACCATGTTAAGGTAGCAAGAAAAATGCCTTTTACTCTATTATACAGTTCTGCTAAATGCAACAAACATAGGCTGATTAAGTAATTTATCCAAGGCCAAAACATACATAATTGGTAACATATTCTGATTATCAAGTATTTTAATAAAGTCAGACACCTGTAGAAATGTATGGTAGCGATATAGCGTGGCAGTTCGTAGCCAGTACCCTGGAGTCCGAATGCCTGGGCTGATGACTCAGTGCTACCATCGATGACCTGCGTGACTTTGGGCAAGTTACTTAACCTCTCTGTGGTTCAGTTTCCACATATGTGAAATAAGGATGATAACAGTACCTTCTCTATAGGGTTGTGTCATCAGGATTAAATAAATGTGTATCTGTACATTAGTGTCTGCCAGAAAGTAAATGCTTGTCAACTAAAAGAGTCAAACTCTGCAAGATATTTGAAGAGATTTATTCTGAGCCAAATATGAGTGACCATGACCCATGACATAGCCGTCAGGAGGTCCTGAGAACATGTGCCTAAGTGGTTGAGGTGCAGCTTGGTTTTATACATTTTAGAGAGACATGAAATTTCAATCTGATACATTTAAGAGGCAGGACAACTCAGAGCGGAGGCGGGCGTGGGGCTGCGGTTGTTGGGGGGCTTCCAGCTTACAGGTAGATTTAAAAATGTTCTGGTTGACAATTGATTGAGTTTCTCTAAAGACCTGGGATCAATAGAAAGAAATGTCTGGGTTAAGATAAAGGACTGTGGAGACCAAAGCTCTTTACAGAAGAAGCTTTCAGGTAGCAGGCTTCAGAGAGAATAGGTTAACATGTTTCTTATCAGACTTCAAGTCTGTATTGATGTTAATGCCAGAGAGGTATATGAGTCATGTGAGACCCCCACTTCCCATCATGGCCTGAACCAGTCTTTCAGGTTACATTTTAAGAGTGCCCTGCTTGGGCCGGGTGCAGTGGCTCACGCTTGTAATCCCAGCACTTTGGGAGGCCGAGGCGGGTGGATCACAAGGTCAGGAGATCGAGACCATCCTGGCTAACACGGAGAAACCCCGTCTCTACTAAAAATACAAAAAATTAGCCGGGCATAGCGGCGTGCACCTGTAGTCCCAGCTACTCGGGAGGCTGAGGCAGGAGGATGGCGTGAACTCGGGAGGCGGAGCTTGCAGTGAGCTGAGATCGCGCCACTGCACTCCAGCCTCGGCGACAGAGCGAGACTCTGTCTCAAAAAAAAAAACAAAAACCAGAGTGCCCTGGTTGAGGAGGAAGTCCATGCAGGTGGTTGGGGGAACCTTAGTATTTTATTTTTGTTTCACATACTATATATATATTTGCTATTTATTATGAATTTGTATTGAGTATAACAAATTTCACTTATTTTACTTTTTCTTTTATCTCCCTCTACAAGTGTGCTAGAAAGTAGTTGGTTATAACCTATTGGCTTATTTTGTTGCCTAACTCCCTTTATATTCTAAGAAATAGATTTTCTCAAGACACCTTAAAGTAATAGAGACTTTATAGATGAATACTCAGGGATGTAAGGAAACAAGAAACCTTCCCGTAAGTTGGATTACCTGGTATCATGCAGAACAGGAAACTCATTGAAGACAGCAGAGGCCAAGGACCCTCAAACCGTGTTCCCTACAGAAACAATTAGTTCCACCATCCCCACGGCCCATGGTTTCTATACATGGGCTCCTATTTCTGGCTGAAATTAGGATTGCTTCAACTTGGCTGCTCTAAACTGCCACATTTTCTTGGGTCTCACATCGCAAATGCCAAAGAATAGAGAGAAGATTTAGCTTATCAGTCACTATCCAGCATAGAGAATTCTGCTGACAAATTTCTCTCACCAAATATCCTCATGTTTCATTTTTGTATGGCTACTCCAGGACAGACCCAGGTCCCTAATCCAAACAATGGTGGCCACGGTATCCAGATTATGTCACAAAGCATAGCACATTTTGAGGAAACAAATCCTCCTGCAGCTGCTTTTTTGAGAGGAGAGCTATGTACCTGGCAGACACTTTAAGATATCACTGTTCCCACATACTGTTACTAAACATTGTTCTTTTGTTTTGGTTTGTTTTGTTTTTTACCTATTTGCAAATCTGTTCTAATGGAATGACTCCTTAAGTCAAAATATAAAAGACTCTAAGAATTGCCGTTTGAAAGGCCTTAACACGTCTTGAGATAAAGCAACATGTTAACAAAGAGAAACTCCACAGTGGGCTTCTCTGAAGAACAATGCCAGGGGATTCATCTTCTTTTAGATCTCACCTCTGTTAAGGATCCTGTACTGCAATTGTTCAGTCTTTACGTCCAACCTTTAAAGGCATAGGATAGATGTTACAGCATATCACTTTCTTTTTACAGACTGAAAAATATTCTCAAAAAAAATTTCTTTCATGGAAAAAGAGGTCTTTTCTTTCTGGAGTGAAAAACACTACTTGCATTGTGAGAGCCTTCTTCTTAAAACAACATGAGGCAGGAAATATAGAGAAATTAATTTCTTTTTAGCTGTTCAAAATTGGAACACTTTTAATATTCTGGGGCTATCAAAGATGCCCTTACCTTTACATTTAAATCTTGACCAATAAAAAAAAACACATATTGCCAGTATTTAACAGGCCCTGAGTGGTTCTGTCAAAATATTAATCTACTTTGCTACCAATTTTGGGAATGCATTTTACAAAACATAATTCTTTCTTCCATCCTTAGAAGCCAAACCACAGAGATTGAAGACTCACCACCCCATCCTACCCTTCAACAGAGACTAAAATGACCTTTTTCCACTATGAGGAATTACATCATGAATTTGGATAGCTGGCCAAAAAAACCCTCCTTTAAAATATTTAGATTTTTCATGGATGACCATTCTTGGTACACACAAAAAAGGAAGGAATCCAATTCCAAAATTCACGTACCCATTGAAGAGGTTCACCTTTGTATTAGCCAAGACTTTTAGTTGCAAGTGCCAGAACCAAATCAACTAAAACACAGCTTAAGAAAATAAAATGTATTTAATGGAAGGAAATTGGGTTATCTCATATAACCAAAGGGATACTTCAGCATCTAAATGGGATAGACAGATGTCTCATGGTGGCTGAAAGTAGGGTCTGACAGGCCACCAGGACACTACATATATGTTCATTTACCTGCATTTACTGTCTCCACTTTTCTTGGCTTCTAGACTTTGTTCTCTCCCTCACAAAGGAGGAAAACATGGCCTCAAACAAAGCATTTCCACCTCCACCACTACCACCAGCACACACCCCTTCCCTAATCCCATCCAAAGACTCCTGGTTCACTTGCCCACCATCAGCCAATGAGCTATAGGCAAAATCAGGGCATGCATCCATTTCTGGGCCAATCCACTGTGGTTAGGGAATTAAAACATGTCAAAACATGGTAATCCCCAAAACACTGGAGAGAGAAGATGTTTCAAAGAATACATTAGGTGTTCAGAAGATGAGAGTGTACTGAGCAGACAAAGCAGATTTCTGCTCCAACCTCGAAAATAAAAGACCTCAAGGCTCAATGTGAAACCAATCTGACTCTTGGTGGTAACAATTCACTGTGGGGATTAGGAGAAACAATTTGTTCTCTCCACTTGGTGCTACCATAAGCATTTCTTCTTTTCGTTGCCAAGAACTAAAAGATGCCCACCAAGAAAACAAATGTGGGAAATAAATTTTTAATAATATCAAATAAAATTGTGTATTTTCCTCTAAGCCAATAAAAAATACTATGCCAAATGCCTATAAACACTAACATATTACTGTCATTTTAAAATATCAAGCAACTGTTCAAATTCGTATACCACCCTGGGTTGTCTTGCATGTCTCTGGTATCCTCACCAGCTTAACCAGTTACTTAAACATTAGAAACCTCAATTTACCAGTAGAGTTCATGGTTATATAAGGATTTTAACCTCTGTTTATTTCTCCCAGCTCCACCATCTCTACCTGCTCCCTTGTAGTAAGAACTAGGAAAATCAGAAAGTGTTTCTCAATGGTTTTTCTTCTTTGTAAAAAACAAGATGGGCTACTTTGGATTCTTCTCAAAAAAGAAAAGAGCCCTAATCTTTTAAACAGCATAACATTGGAAGGGAAATTGATTCCCAGTTTTTAAAAAGTGAGACACATAAAACTCAGATGCCATAGTGACCAATAGTTTGTAAGCCTAAATAAACAAACATTTATCTCTTGAATCTCAAATAGGTTTAATCTAACTTGGTTTTCATATATTGTTGCATTATTTTGGTTTTTTTGGAAAAAAGATATAGAGGAAAAAAATAAATCTTTTTGATCATACTAAAATATACTTAAGATAAAATTTACCACTTTATTTATAAGTACATGTTTTAGTGGTATTAAGCACATTCACAATATCATGCAGCCATCGTCACTATCTCAGAAAGAGAAAGAAATCTCACTTTTAGTAAAATCTTACCCTTTCCCAAAAGACTGTTTTCCAATATTGTAGTTATTGGAAGGAAATAATGTTTTTTTTTTCTCAAACACTTTAAGGCCAGTTCCAGAGAGGGTCATTCTCCTACCCTTCTCCAAATTATTACTTGGCACCAGACATAAAAATGCATTCTGATCAGCTGCCCCATCTTTATGCTGGAAATCACATTGCCTACTTTTTGAAAGCTCCAAATACTTTAAGGGATACATGCATTCTCTCGCTTCAGGTTTCCACCAATACATGACAGTTAATTACAATTTTATGTTGGCTCTGACAGGCTGCACTGTTGAGCATGTTCCCACACAAAGTATTGATGGGAAAAGAAATGGTGCAAAGACATCAATTACAAGGATAGATGATGCCCTCTTCATGCAGTAAGGAATTAACTTCTGAATCCTAAATGGCACTCAATGCAGAACTGTGAGGAATAACAAAGAGATAATTGATCCATCTTTCCTCTGCATTTTAAAACATACATAATTGTTTCTTGGTTGACTGGATTTAGCAATCTCTCCTGTCAAGGAAATATCCGAGCTGTCTTTTTAGAAATTAAACCAAAGAAATTAACATCCCTCAAAGCTTTTACTGTAATGCATTTCACACTCAGTAGCCCATAGATTTAACCTGCTTGGGTGATGACAACATCTTAGCCAATAGTGCTTACTAGAAATAACGTATTATAACCATTATCATGCCAGTGTACTAAAACGTATATTGTGTAAACTCATTTCAGTTTTCCCCGAGAATGTAATGAGAAAATGACATGATAATCTTTATAAAAATATTATCCTATTTGCCATCCTGACCTCCAGTTCCTGATAAAACAAAATAACATTCAAAGTCACAGAAATAATTACAGAGATTAAATAGCTGGGTAAAACGAGAGTAGGAAGGATAACTTTTTTTCTATGCTTTTGTTTTCTGGCTGGAGGCTTGAGTCTTCTTCTTAAGCCAAAATGTTGCCTCCAACTAAAGCAAGTGTGTACCCAAATGCTGATTATCATCAGCATTTTAACATTCTAGCATCATCCCAGTTGCTTTTGTTACTTTCACAAACAGGCAGCTGAAGCTATTACAGCCTTGGATTTCAACAAGGTGAACTTGCAGAAACAATAGGAAATAATTTGCATGATTGTGCATGGATTTCCCCAGGAACATAGCATCCCACAGAAAAGAAGTACTCAGAAAAATGCCATTTTTGTTTAAAACTTGGGAGTTTTCTTTTTTATCACCACAAAGATGCATTTTTAGGATTATTCACCCATCATAAGTCTCATAGAACTACAGAACACTGGAGTTAGAATGTTATGCAGGTCAGCTCTAAATCCTTCATTTACTGGTGAGAAAATGGAGACCCAGAGATGAAGAATGACCTAACTAGGTCACATCCAGCAAGAATGAGAATAGCAGAACTCGAATAATTATATGAGTTATTTCCAAAGCACCATTCCTCCATACCACCACGTCGAGCCCCAGGTTTTCAGTGCATTTCCTTGAGTCCCAGGCTTCAGGTTGGGTCAGTGCTAATTAAGCTAGTGTGAGGTGAGTTAAAATCATCAGCCAGCCTCACTCACAGCTTCCCCCATCATTCTGACCCAATTACAAAGCAAGGTGGGACTAAAGAGAGCCTTGAAGGGTGGAGCTAATGGTGAAAGTGAGCCCAGGAACAGGTTTGTGGCAGCTGGGGAGTCTCAGACCCAAGGGCTTGGGCATCCTAATCTGGGTTCAAAGGCTGGTTCTTTCATAAATAAGCATTGCTTTATTTCACTGGCTCCCGATCATTCAAATATATGTAATAATATATATGAATGTGTATGTTATATGAATATAAATATGAATATACATATGAGTTGCACTTTGTATGAATATATACATATGAATACATATATTTGGCCTGGCATGGTACTGAAGATCTTCATTTTCTGCCCTGGGATTCTCCTGACACCACAGACATGGAGAAGAAGCTCTAGAACTGCACGAATGTGAAGCTCAGAAGTGAGGGGAGTAAACCCTCCCACAGGCAACCTTCAATTTCCAGGAAACGGGAGCCAAGCAGGGAGAGTGCTCCTCCTCACATCCTCTGGCAGACAATTCTGGCAGGTATTCTGAGGCTTCAAGGAGTCCTGGTAGAATTTAGCTTTCATTGCCTGCAAATTCAGTAACAGCCCTCACATGGGTTTTTCCTCTTTCCTGCTCTCACTCCTACACCTTGGGCTTCTCTGTTTCCCACATAAACCACCTGCACACAAGTTTTCCTCGGACCAAGTTTTCAGGGCAACTCAGACTGAGACAACCTTTTCCTAGCTGTGTGATCCTGAGAAAATTACTCATATTCTCACAAATTCCATTTCTCCCTTTCAAAGTGACAATAATAGTACATTCACAGAACTTTTGTAAGGAACAAAGAAGGCTCTGTGTACAAATGGACCTAACCCTGCCTGGAGCAGCTCTTTCTGCAGTGGCCCCATCTTGATTATGCCACTGTTCCATTTGCTTAGGACAAACACCTCAGAGTCATCCTTCAGCTGTCTCTCACTCACATACTGCACATCCAGTTTTGCAGCAAATCTGCAAGGCCTTAACCTTTAAAATATGTCCAAACACCACCTCTTCTCACCATCCCCGTGGCTACCAGCCCCAGTGTAAGGCCACATCATCCCTCTGCCTACATTATTGTAATAGCTCCAGAGTGGTCTCCCTGGCCCTACCCTTGTTTTCCTAAATATTTTCCCTTCAAAACAGCAGCTATTTTTGAGCATAAGCCATACAGTTAACTCCTCTACCCCGAAGACTCCTCTGAGTCCCTCCTCCATCCCATTCAGAGTGTCAGCCCAAGTCTTCCCAATGGCTTATACGGCACCACAGGACCTGACTCCTTATCACCTCTCAAACATTCACCTCTGTCTTCCTGCTCCACTCTGTCCTTCCATGTGGCCTCATCCATGTACTTCATTTACACTCCTACCTCAGCCCATATAGACTATTCCCTCTGCATAAAAATTTCATCCACTGCAGATCCACACAGCTCACTCCCTCACATCACTTAATTCTCTGCCCAAATATGACATGTGTCAAAAATTTTTGTTCTAATCACATTTTATAACACATACCCTGACCTGCCAAACTCTCTGACTCCTTACCCTCCATTTGTTAAAATAAAATTGTACCAGGTAAGATAAGCAAATAGAAGTTGATTTTATTCCAGTATTATTGCCAGCATAGGGAAGAAAACACAGCCCAGCTCTAGATGAAATGAATGGTTGGAGAATCCTTAAAATCTGGGATGAGGGACCTTAGGCCACACCTGTTTTTGCGAATTGGCTTTACCCAAGGGAAAAGTAAATTTTCTCATGTCCTTGTGACAGGAGGCAGTTTTACAACTTGGAGCAAGGTGCCCCACCAAGGTTAGGCTCTTGCCTTCTTGTAGAGGCTGGTAGACAGGGATGCTGTCTTCCTTGCCAATTGGATTTCAAAGAGATGGTTCCCAGGTCTTTGAAAAAGATATTCCTGGGTTGCAAAACCAGCAGAAGGCATTTATAATATCTCAAAAAGGCAGATAAGGAATTTACAAATTAAACACATTTTCAAGAAAAGGGAGATCAGGGAACAAGAGTCAGGAAGAAGCCTGTCTAAAGCTGAATCAAGCTGAAGGCAGCATTAAGGTTGTCTTGGGCACGATAGCACCACCATATACATCATATCTCTGCCTGCCTGTTTCCCCTCTCTTCTCACTAAAATTCAAGTTCCAGGAGAATGGGTATGTTCTGCTTTGTTTTCTGCTCTACCACACCACCTATACTGCATATAGTATTTGCTAAGTTAATAGTAAATGCACAGAACATTCCAGAATATTTCAAATTTAAGTTTTAGAATTAAGTCATTTTCTTTTTTCAGTGGTCTCATTAATGATAGCACTTTTTTTTAAATCGTTTTTCTGTTCTACAATTATTTTGAGATTACGTTTTCTGGGAGCAATTTAAAATGTCTTTCCTAGTCATGACTCAGAGCCATCTATTGAATGTGTGTGTGTGTGTGTCTGTGTATGTGTGTGAGAAAATGTGTATGTACTGTATATGTATATATACACACATAATAATTCAATATGTACATTTTATGCACAAAATACAATAAACATATATTTTGCGTATATAAACTCATACATATTGGATTATTTTCATCCCTAAGCACTTTCAACAGAGTCTCAATAAAATTTACAGACCAAGTTTTAAACTTACCCCCATCTATTCAATACCTTTTTTCAACCTTTTCCCTTCACAGGTTGGTTTTTCACTACCTGGAAGGCACTAATGAAACAATTTTCAAAATGTTTTAAATGCACTGGGTTGGAGACAGGAGAGTCTGCCACTGAAGACCAGTGCAGATCAGAGTGATGGGACTCTGGTGGGCTTCACAGAGATAAAGTGCAGATTTCTAGTTCGTAGATAAGGTTACATACTAGAAACCATTTACTATGCCTTTGTAACAATTGCATGCCCGCATTTTTTTTTTTTTTTTTTTGAGACAGAGTCTCACTCTGTCGCCCAGGCTGGAGTGCAATGGCATGATCTCGGCTCACTGCAACCTCCGCCTCCCGGGCTCAAGTGATTCTCCTGCCTCAGCCTCCCATGTAGTTGAGATTACAGGCGCCCACCACCACACCTGTGCGTGCCCATATTTTAAGAGATAGTTGGCCTGGTGTAGTGACTCATGCCTGTAATCCCAGCACTTTGGGAGGCCGAGGCAGGCGGATTACCTGAGGTGAGGAGTTCGAGACCAGCCTGGACAACACGGTGAAACCCAGTCTCTACTAAAAATACAAAAATTAGCTGGGCATGGTCGTAGGTGCCTGTAATCCCAGCTACTCAGGAGGCTGAGGCAGGAGAATCACTTGAACCCAGGAGGCAGAAGTTGCAGTGAGCTGAGATCATGCCACTGCACTCCAGCCTGGGCAACAGAGTGAGACTCCATCTCAAAAAAAAAAAAAAAAAAAGAGAGATAGTTTGATTTACCACTTTCTGAAGTGTACTGATAGTTTTCCTTTATTTTATGTAAAATGTCATGATACATACTTGTCTCATCCAGGCAGTGCTGGCCACCACAGCATGCAGCCACCCTGCTACAGAGAAAACAATGCAGCAGGCCATCCCCTTGCCCCAAGGCGAAGGTGGTGCCATTGCCGCAGGTCCACCTGTAGGGCATCAAGAGCATCAAGCAGAAAAGAGATAAGAAACACCAGTTGATAAAGGACTATCTGGAGAAAGTGAAGCCTAACCTGAGATCCATCTGCATTCCCATCCTAGTCCTGGAAGTGTCAGATATGTATTTAATAGCCAGTATAACTGATTCAGAAAGCAAGGTCTTTTTCCCAAAATGAAGGAAAATTAATTCCATTACCTTGCTGACACTGCATGGGATGATGATTGAAAACATATCACAGATAATTCCCAAGGAGCCTGCTTACCAAGAGGCATTTGAAATAGCAAGGCAGAGATGGGAGCCACACAAACAAGTTGCCTGGGGCTAGCTCTTAACTTTACTGGATTTTGCTAGGAGATTTTTGTTTGTTTGTTTGTTTGTTTTGAGACTGAGTTTTGCTCTTGTTGCCCAGACTGGAGTGCAATGGCGAAATCTCGGCTCACAGCAACCTCCACCTCCCAGATTCAAGCGATTCTCCTGCCTCAGCCTCCTGAGTAGCTGGGACTACAGGCATGTGCCACCATGCCTGGCTAATTTAGTATTTTTAGTAGAGATAGGGTTTCTCCACGATGGTCAGGGTGGTTTCGAACTCCCGGCCTCAGGTGATCCATCCGCCTTGGCCTCCCAAAGTGCTGGGATTACAGGCATGAGCCACTGCACCCAGCCACTAGGTGATTTTTAATAATGCAGAACTTGCCCACACACTGACCAAAATGACTTTTGACAGAATGAAAACTTACAAAGACAACACCCTCATCATTCAGGCCTTAGAATCAACCAAACTTGAAGGAAGACCATGCAGGAGAAGAATGTGCTACAGCAGAGGGAGAGGAAGCTAAATGCATGTTGGGAGCATCCTTCTCCTCGAGGAACCCTCTAGACATCTCCACTCCTTATTTCACTGGGATTTCCTATAGAAAAGAAACCCATTCATGTGTATGGAATCAGCTGTTACAGTCTGTTTCTCATTGCAGCTCTGGGAGACTCCATGTCTTGATTTCTGCTTGTCTCAGTCTTTCTGGTTTATAGTGACTACTGCAGAAAATTATGAATAACCTCATTTCATATAAACATAAGTAACTTCCACACACTTACAAAGAAGACTAAAAATGCATCTGGTATTTAAAGAATCTGGACTAGTTCTACAAGTGACTGTGTTTGGTATTACTTCAAATATATGGAAATCTAGTTCATTATAATTAAAGAGTGTTCTAAATGACATGAGTTTCTACATTTCCTCCCTTATTATTTTTCAGGGATTTCCTTTCAGTAAGCAACTCTTCCATAATTTTAATGTATTCACTTGTGGCAAGAATCCAGAAATATTAGACTGAATGGGAAAGCCTCTGACACTTCTAGGCTGGAGATCACAAATTGAAATGCCTCCTGTATTATATACGTTATGGAGATCATGGATATTTGTGACAGCAGTTTTCTAATTTACTCTTTATTTGCTGCTGTTTAAATTAAAAACTTACCTCCTGCCTTTGAAGTTCTCTTATCCGCTTTACTATGTAAAAGCAATAACACATTGCTGCCAGAATGCAAGCATTGCTTTTGGCAGACTAAAGTGCATATCATTTTCTAATAGACTAGAAAGGGCAAGTTAATTAAAGTACACAGGTCCAAGTCTAAAACTTGAGTATTTTTCTATGCATATATGTGTGCGGGTGGGAGGGTGTCCAATTTGTCCAGTGATGGCCATTGAGAGAGGTGACCCACCGCTGAGTGCTGCTAAACATTGTCTGTAGTTTAAAAAAAACCTTGGGTAAATGTTATGCCCTATGCAACAGCAGAGTAACATAAAAGAAAACTGCATACCAGAAACATTTACTATGTCTTTGTAACAACTGCATGACCATATTTTAGGGAGTAGTTGAATTTACAACTTTCTGAAGTTTATTGATAGTTTCCTTTTATTTTATGTAAAATGTAGTCATGATACCCATGTTTCTGCATGATGAGACACTTGTCTCATGATGCCTTGAAATGCATAAAATCAGACATTTCTTCCAGTAAATGTTTTATGGTGGATCAGTCTCAGGGCTATCTTTCCCTCAGAGGTAAATGACATCTGGTTAAGTGTTATATGGAATAAAGTGGGCATTTTAAAACTTGAAAAAAAAACCTACCGGGTTAGACAAAATTAACAGGTTTCTCTACTTCACATCTGTTCAGAGCCCTTTATACGCTAATATCTCAGGTGTACTGCGAATTCCCAAAGTGGAATATAGTGTATAGCTTTTACCCACACACTTTTTTTAGAAACAGGTTCTCATAGGACATACTCTGATGCACGAGAAACATTACTGGAGTGTCATCATGGTGCATTGCTTACTATTTATTATTTATAAAAATGAAAAATGCCTAGTTTTGGCATGTATTCCCAAGACCAACTTTCCCATTTCTCTGTCTAGAAAAGAAATTGCTCATTTATCAAGCTTTGGTTTCATATTTCTAAGCTCTTGCATTCTATATGAGAAAATGAGCATGTTGCATGTTCTCTTGAGTGTGAGAACTTTTCATGAAATTTCTAATGTCTATATCAATTTATCACAATAAGTATTTCTGATATTTCTCTTCAAAAAATCAATGATTTTTGTTAATATGCTTGATTATATTAACTTTCTACCATATATTTCCCATATTTTCCAATTTGGAAGATAAGCCACTAGCCTATGATTTTACAGATTCCCTCTTATTTCACTTGTCAAGGGGCCAGTGGCGGTTTCTGACTTGCCACCAAATCTAATGCCTAACTGCGTCCTTCAAGGTCCTCCCTAATCCAGCCCCACTCTGTGGCAAACACAAACATATTTTTAACTACTTCTCAACATATTGACAACTCTCCCGACCAGCTCACCTCTTGCCTCTCTGAAAAGTAGCCATGCTTCTTCCCATCCCACCTGCTTCACACATGCTTCAGCCGGGAATTGGAGCCCCTGTGGGTATTTTGGGAATAGCAGATTTATTACAGGAATTACACATTACATAAAGGTGAAAGGAGCTGGGGAACTTAACACCTGGGAAGGGGAGTCGGGAAATAAGAGTAATTCTCACTAATCAATCCATCAGAAACATAATAATCAGGCTTCCAGGGGATCTCAAGAGCGTTATAGACTGATGAATGTGACTCTTCAAAATTCGTATGTTAACACCCTAACCTCCAATGTGATGATGTTCCGAGGTGGGGTCTTTGGGAGGTAAATAGGTCATGAGGATGGAGCCTTCGTCATAGAATTAGTGCCCCTTATAAGAAGATAAAAAGAGAAGAGCTCTCCCTCTCTTCTTTCTTCCCTCTCTCTCTCTATCTCTTTCTGCCATGTGAGGATTCAACAAGAAAACAACCATTTGTGAGCCAGGAAGCAGGCCCTCACCAGGAACCAAATCAGTTGGGACCTTGACCTTGGACTTCCCAGCCTCCAGGACTATGAGAAAGAAACGTCTGTTGTTTAAGCCACCCAGCCTATGCTATTTCATTGTAGCAGCCTGAGCAGACTGAGACATAAGCATGTCTAGCTGCCAAGATGGGACAGGGAAGGGGAGCTCATGAGAGGCCTAGAAGTTGCCACCTCTGTGTGGCCACAGTCTTTAGGGCTTATTGACATGTGTCTGCCTGGTGGTTAGCCCAGGGGTTGTTGTTGGTCAGTAGAGTCATAGCTGGAAAGCCAGTTGAGCATGGAGTAAAGTGTTGGGAGATGCCGTCCCCTGCTGAATCTGCCTACATTCACTTTCTGAGGTGAGTGGCTGCTTCTTCCCTTCCTTTATGGCTCTCTAATCCAGATATCTTTAGGGAAAGGGGTTCTAGGAAAAGTAGTTTCCAGCCTTAGCCAAGGTGGCCCAGGACAATCCTGTACAACCTGCTCCTTATCAACATGGCATCCACAAACACCTGCTTTACCCATGTTTATCTTCCAGATAGAGACATTGGCAAAATCACCCTTTTACCCAGTATGATGCAACTACCCGTCATACGACCAAACACATGCTAATGCCCCCCAAAAGAGGATATGAAAACATGCACTTTGTCCATCCCTGGTTAGTGTTTACTGCTGTTATCACTGCCTTTGTTATCCTATATCTTAAATACTGAAATATAAGGTTATCCATTATTAATACATCACGTTAGATAAAAAGAAAATGGAGGCTGGGGAGAAAAAGAATTGGTTAATATATTTACAATTACATTCGTATTATAAGAAGGAAAAATACTCATAAATATTTTAGGCCTTTTTAAAAAACTGGAAATGTTTTAAAACTGGATGAATATTGATGAAGTTACCACATTTTCTTCTACCCATTCCATGTTCCTTTTATATTCAGCAGGAATGCTGTGGTTTGCTGCCAGCTGGGGTGACCCAAACCTTTACTCTTGAGGATTTGTGTCCTTTGTTGGCATGGTTACTGATACAGATTGCCTGTGTCCCCACCCAAATCTCATCTTGAATTGTAGCTTTCCAAATTCCCACGTATTGCGAGAGGGACCCAGTGGGAGATCATTGAATCATGGGGGTGGTTTTTCCTATACTGTTTTCACGGGAGTGAATAAGTCTCACGAGAGCTGACGGTTTTATAAGGGGAAACTGCTCTTGCTTGGCTCTCATTCTGTCTTGCCTGCTGCCATGTAAGAAGTGCGTTTTGTCTTCCACCCTGATTGTGAGGCCTTCCCAGCCACGTGGAACTGTGAGTCCATTAAACCTCTTTTTCAGTATAAATCACCCAGCCTCAGGTATGTCTTTATCGGCAGCGCGAAAATGGACTAATACAGTTACCATGGGACAACAGGGCTCTCTGAGGACTCCTGATGATCTTCAACATTTGAGAGACTCCTCCTTGTTGTGCCCCCAATCCCTCTTGAATTTGCCCTTGACAGTGAGAATCAGTCAACTCAGCCAATTTGATCATCCCCTTCACATCTGTAAATTCAGCAGGAAGATCAATCTAGTCCCACATCCAGAGGTGTCTGAAATTTACTGACTTATTTTCTATTCTATTGATAAACTGACTGGGTTCCATTTTTTGAAATCACGTATCTTTGATAAATTTAATGTTTTTGAAATTCATTATATAAAAATGACATCTGCTCACATATGCTTATTGCAGCACAATTCACAATTGCAAAGATATGGAATCAACTTAAGTGCTCATCAGCCAATGAGTGGATAAACAAAATATGGTACATATACACCATGGAATATTACTGGGCCATAGAAAAACAAAATAATATCATTTGCAGTGACTTATACAGAACTGGAGGCCATTTTCCTAAGCGACGTAACTCAGAAATGGAAAATCAAATACTCCATGTTCTCACTTGTAGTGGGAACTAGGCTATGGGTATGCAAAGGCATACAGAGTGGTATAATGGACATTAGAGACTCAGCAGGGGGAAGGGGGATTGGGGGGAAGGGATGGAAAATTACCTGTTGGGTATAATGTACACTATTTGGGTGACAGGTACACTTAGAGTCCAGATTTCACCACTACAAAATTAATCTACATAACCAAAACCACCTGTACCCCTAAAGATACTGAAATAAAACTTATTTTTAAAGTTAAGGTTTTTGATATAGAACTGTAATATCAATTATAGCATACTGTTTTCTATTTGTATCCCAGGGTATCTAGGTTACATATATATATTTTTCTTCTACCAGATTATAATTAAGGTCTTCTCCCTCTTTATCTCCTAAAGAGGTACTTTCATTAACAAATCGTTTTAAGAAATCTTTAAAAAGTCATTGGAATTCTCTGTGCTTATGCAATGCAACGCATTCAAAGTGCAAGATTTTAGGAAGAAAACCTGATACAAATATTTCAACCTTAATTACTTCTGAATTATTCATCCAGGATACATATTTTGTTCCCTGGAAGATTTTGCCTGTGTCTTAGCAGCCTAAGCTGATGGGGACTTACTTACTAAATGAAAAGTAATTTGATAGCATATTATGGCTGGCAAAACAAAAATAAATAAAAGCTGGAATTCCACTCTAGGTAATATAAGTATAAATTTTTAAATTATCTTCTCCACTGATTCCAGGCTTTAAAAGATGACTGAAAAACCTACCAGTTTATTAATATATATTCCAGATATTTCACGGTCTAGCTCAACTTTCTTGTGATGAGAACAGGCCAAAGACACAACTACACAGATAAAAGAAAATTTGCCATTAAATAATTGTTTAGAAGTTTCACTCATCCTAAGATTCTCTAGGCCAAGGGCCATGTCTTACCAGTCTCTGTAATTCTATTGTTTAAGACAGTACCTAACACAAAGCCATAACTCTGTTAGCAGTAGTATCATTGTTATGATTGTGATTATCATTCTTTTCCAGAACCGAAGTCAGCATAACAGTGTTGGTGACAAGACATCTAGTCATCTCAAATGTTTCTTTTCCATCATTGGGAATTTCTTTTATTATTATTTTATTATAATTTATTAATTATAATAAATTATAATTAATTTATTAAATTATTATTTAGTTCCAGTTCCCCCATGGGAAACAGAGTCCATGGAGAATCAGGTGTAGTGGCCTTAATGGGGCAGCACTCGGGATCAACCTGGGAGAAGAAAATTAGCAGGAGAGAAAGTTGAGCTTGGATGCAGGGCTTCATGAAGGCCTCACAACAGCTTCAGCAGAGACCATCTGGAAAAGCCCCTCAGAGTTGTTCTTCCCTTAGGTGTGAAGATGTGGACCTCACAGAACCAAGCTTTTGGATGCAAGCTGCTTAGGGTGGGGGCCTCCCTCAAGGAGGCAGCCCCCTTTAGTCAACGCAATGCCTAGAGTAGGACTCCACAGAGGGATTCCTAGCCAGCCAGTCGCAGGAGAACAAGCACCTTCATCCTGAAGGGAGAAAAGGACAGGGCACTACATCCTTCAGTACATTTTCTATCTATATGCTCCAAATAATTTCCTCAATTGTATTTTATTTTGCATGGTCAGAGCTTGCAAGTATACAGTTTTGCATGGGGCTTTCTGGATTGCTGTTTTGTTTTGTTTTGTTTTGTTTTGTTTTGTTTTGTTTCGTTTTCTTAGAGGCAGGGTCATCCAGGCTAGAGTGCAGTGGCACAATCGTAGCTCACTGCAGCCTCAACCTCCTAGGCACAATTGATCCCCCTGCCTCCCAAAGGGCTAGGATTACCAGCATGAGCCACCATGCCCAGCTCTATATTTTAAATTTTTCTAAATAAGCCAAAATCTGTTTTTTCAGTTGTTTGAATTCTGAGCTGTCCATAGGTATATTCTCTAATCGGGTAAACGTGCTCCTTAAACATTATAAATTGCAAATGTTAAACAAATTTTTAGCAAATTGGAAAATGTGGCATCACATGTAGAACATTATCAGCAAATGACAGCACATGCTTCTCCTAGAGAAATGGCTCAGCCTTAGACGCACATATCTCTTTAATATGCTTCCGTTTCCTTTTCAATAATGATTGAAAAAGGATTGTTTGTAGTTTATTTTATGGGAAGGAAGATAGGCAGGCAAGGTCAAGGGAGTGAAGACAATGAATACTTATGGCCTTCTTATTAACTGTTCAGTAAACTGTAAAATTCCGTAGAGCATGTTTAGCATCTTCCAATTTATCTTGTTCTACAGTGAAGGAATCCATCAATATACTACAAAACTTCCTTCCTTTTTCGTCCTGTCTTCCCTCCTTTCTTCTCTTTTTCTTTCTACCTTATGTTCTTTTGACTTAAGATATTAAAGTTGGAAAAAACATATATTCCTCAATTTCTTGCAGTTATCGATTTTTTTACCATACTTATTGCTCATTTTTTACTCATTTATTTATTTATTTATTTATTTAATTTATTTTTTTGAGACAGGGTCTTGCTCTGTCGCCCAGGCTGGAGTACAGTGGCGCGATCTCGGCTCACTGCAAGCTCCACCTCCTGGGTTCACGCCATTCTCCTGCCTCAGCCTCCTGAGTAGCTGGGTCTACAGGCCCCTGCCACCACGCCCGGCTAATTTTTTGTATTTTTAGTAGAGATGGGGTTTCACTGTGTTAGCCAGGATGGTCTTGATCTCCTGACCTCGTGATCTGCCCACCTTGGCCTCCCAAAGTGCTGGGATTACAGGCATGAGCCACCACGCCCTGCCACTTATTTGTTTTTAACTCACTCACATCTCCAAACCCTCTCAGACAGAGGTAAATGCCTAATACATTCAATACATACAACTGAATTTGCAAAATATATGGAACATGTGTTTATCTGATTTGTGCAAATTTTATTGTAGATCTTGCTATGGTTTAAATGTGTCCCCCAAAGTTTATATGTTGGAAACTTAATCCCTGATGTAACAATGTTGAGGAATGGGCCAATAAGAAGTAATTAGGTCATGAGCATAGAGCCCTCATGAATGGATCGATGTCCTCATGGGAATGGGTTAGTTATTACTAGACTAGATTGCTAAAAAAGGAAGTTCAGGTACCCCTTGCTCTTTTGCTCTCACCCTCTCTTGCTCTTCCACCTTCTGCCATGGAATGACGCAGCATGAAGGAATTCACCAGATGCTAGGGCTATGCTCTTGAACTTCACAGCTTCCAGAACCATGAGTCAAATAAACTTTAACTGTTTATAAATTACCCAGTCTATGATATTCTGTTATAGCAACACAAAATGGACAAAGGCAAATCTCATTCTCTTTCTCCTATTTATTTTTCACTCAGCACCATTTTCTGAAAACCAACCTTCCCTCCTGGCTACCACACATAATTCTTCAATTTGTACATTTTTGTTGTTGTTGTTGATATGTTCAAGCAGTTCCTTGGGGATATATATGTAGGAATGAACTTAATATATCACAGCATATTTACTCCTAGCTGAACCATTCTATGCCACCTCCAGTGTATAATACGATATTCAATTATCAGATGGGTCGTAACTTACAATTTCAGTCAAGACTTTAGTGCCCAGAATACACATACACACCAGGTAAGAAATAGTTTCAAAAATGATGATCTCATTGTACACAAGCCTGATATTTTAAGAGAAAGGTAGATTTAGTTCCTTTGGGGAAAACAAACAAACAAAAAACAAAAACCTCTTTTACTTGGCTAAAAGTGGAGAATTTTTATGCTTAAAAGTACATTTAATTTTCCAGACATGATTTGCCTTTTCTATTATCTGAATGAGACCTCCAAAATTCATGTGTTGGAAACTTGTTGGGAGGTGGGGCCTTTTAGGAGGTGTTTAGGTCATGAGGGCTCTGCCTCCATTCATAGAGTAATGCCATTATAAGAAGGACTTGCAGGAGTGGATTTCCCTCTTCTGCCATGTGAGAACACAGAATGCCTCCCCTCTGGAGCATGTAGCAACAAGTCCCAATTTTGGAACCAATGTCCAAACCTGCCAGTACCTTGGTCTTGGACTTGCCAGCTTCCAAAACGATGAGAAATAAATGTTCTTTATAAATTACCCAGTTTCAAGTATTCTCTTATAGCAGCACAAAACACACCAAGACCCTTTTATGTCTTTTACATGGTTGAACAAACAGGAAACCCCCTTCTCTAGGAGAAACTTCTATCAATCTCCCCTAGATACCTAACAAAAAGGCTTCTCTGTTATTTCACTGCTCTATCTGCTCTGCTATCACTATGGCTTGCACTGTATTTTGTCTTTTGGTTCTTGCTTTGGTCTGAAGAATGGTCCCCCCAAAATTCACATGTTGAAGTCTAAACAATATCTCTTGAGCTCAGGAGTTCATGGTTACACTGAGTTATGACTGCACCACTGTAGTCCAGCCTGGGCTGCAGAGAGATACCCTGTCTCTAAAACAAACAAACAAAAAAATACTAATTTTTTTTTAAAAAGAAAAACCTAATCACCAATGTGTTGGCATTAGAAGGTAAGACCTTTGGAAGGTGATTACATCACCCCAAAAAGTGCATATGGTTATTTGCTGATACACTCACTAATGTTCTACAAGTAGTCCTTTTTGTTTTATTTTTTTGCTGTGGCAATGCACCATATCATATATGTTACAAATTTGAAAAAGCTTTAAGAAGTAGGTGCTGTACCAAATTGGAGAATCGTCACCATCCTAGGTAAGACAGTGGTCAAAGGCAATGATTGAAGCACTGACAACAAAGTGGGATACTGTCAGTTCCCAAAGTCTAAAGGCTAAATCCAGATGGCCTTTTATACAGTTTTTTATCAGCAGCCATTTCTAGAGTGGCTCTGTGGTTCAAAGCCAACACTACTCCAGTCTGAATAACTAGCATAAATAATCATGACTTATTGATTCATATATTCTTGGTCTTACATGCACACAATTCAGAAAGACTGTAAAATATATAATAGGGAACTTCCTATTTATTATCTCACAGGATATGCCTTATAAATAATGCCTTAGATTCAAATGTAAAACTACTTGCCATTAACATACATCTAAAATCTAGTGATATTCATTTACAGCACCACATACACCCTAAAATGAGACGTGCTGTGTGAATTTAGTGCACTTAAAAGAGGCCCCAGAGGCTGGGCATGGTGGCTTACACCTGTAATGCCAGCACTCTGGGAGGCCAAGGTGGGCGGATCATCTGAGGTCAGGAGTCTGAGACAAGCCTGGTCAACCTGGTGAAACCTCATCTCTACTAAAACTACAAAAATTAGCTGGGCGTGGTGGCAGGTGCCTGTAATTTCAGCTACTCGGGAGGCTGAGGCAGGAGAATCGCTTGAAGCCAGGAGGCGAAGTGAGCTGAAGATTGTGCCATTGCACTCCAGCCTGGGCAACAAGTGAAAAACTCTGTCTCAAAAGAAAAGAAAAGGGAAAAGGAAAAAGAAAAGGCCCCAGAGAGCTCATCTGCCACTTCTGCCAGTGAAGACGCAGGAAGATGGTACCATTTAAGAACCAGGAAACAGGTTCACCAGACACATAGTTAGCTGGCACCTTGACCTTGGACTCTCTCACCTCCAGAACTATGAGAAATAAACTTCTGTTGGGTGTAAGCCATCCAGTTGATGGTGGTTTTTATATAGCAGCCCAAATTGACAAAGGTAGTTCTAAATCACTTCTTCCTCATCTCCACATCATTTTCACTCCTGGAAACACTAGTCATCTGGTTCTGGGTAGGCACTTTCATAAACCTCTTCTTCTTCTTGAAAAAAGCTGCTGAAGCATTTATTCCTTCAGCATAAGCTGTTCCTTTATCCTGTGTTCCTGCTATGCCTGTCATCACTGATTGCATTGGGTTGAATGCATGAGCTGAGTATTTCGAGCTCAGTAATATTTTCCCCATCTACCAAAACAATAGGCTTAGATTCGAAGAATGCCAAGAAATAATGTAACTCAAAAAATTTATAATTTTATACATTTTAAGACAATTAATACCTCTATTAAGTCATTAGTTCTGTTGCAATAGTATAATATTGCTGAACTATATTCAGTAATGCTACTTACTCTCTTCTATCTAGGAGAAGAATAATGAGCACTGAAAATTCTTATAAGTTTTCTTTGTGCTATGAGCCTCATAGTTCTATTTGGAATCTATTTGAGTCATATAGTTTGTAGAGACATAATACTTTTTATGAAAGACATATTATATAAACATCTACTGAGCATTGGTTTCTGTTATAAGAAATAATAAATCAATGCATATAACAACTGGTATTTTTTCCTTATTGTTAGAATGAAACTTCCACTACGAATTAGAGAAAAATCTCCATTACAGTTAATGCATTTTAACTAATTAAAAGGGCAAATTTTCTTAAATGATTTCTTTTCACATAAAGACAGAACAAGTCTACTACTTTGAATTAGTATAATGAAACATCCCAGGGACCTTGGAGTAGATTAATAAATTTCTCACTGTGCAAAGAGTTACACCTGGGAGAAACAGTCTCCTGAAGTTATTTTGATTCATGTTAAGGAACATAAATGAAAATATGTAAAGCCAATAAATTGTGATAAAATAATGGGAAGTGACTTGGTTAAGATCAGTCTTCACGGAAACCATGAACAAGTGGATATTTTCTTCCTGTGTACTGTAAGACTGGAATAAAGTGTTCATGATGATTTTAACAACACAGACATATTTCAGTTTACACTGCCAATATCTTAACCAAGAAAGTAGGACAGAGACACGCTGGTTTCCATAGAATCTAGAACCCTGAAGAATTGTGATGCAATTCAAAAAAACATTTATTTAAAGCCTACTAGGTTGCAAGCATATCATTTATTCAGCTAAGATATTGAGAGACTGCCACACAGATTACTTTATGCTAAATGCTTTGGAGAAATAAAGAACAAAGCACCTTTTGTTTTCTTGGAGTATTTTTAATTATTTTGTATGAGGAAATAAGTAGAGGAGAAGTTTGGTGAAAAAAAAACTTAAATATTACAAGAAGAAAATATATGAACTATATAAGCCAACCTAGATACTCAGTTGACCCTTGAACCAGGGGTTGGGGGCCAATCCCTTCACACCCTGGATTTTCATAAGATAAAATCTGCATATCACTTTTGACTCCCCCAAAACTTAACTACTAAGAGCCTATTGTTGGCCAGAAGTCTTACAGATAACATAAACAGTCAATTAACACATACTTTGTATATGTATTATATTCTGTATTACCACAATAAAGTAAACTAGAGAAAGGAAAATGTTACTATGAAAATCATAAGGAAGAGGAAATGTATTACTATTCATCAAGTGGAAGGGGATCATCATAAAGCTCTTCATTTTGGTCACCTTCACATTGAGTATGCTGCGAAGGAGGAGAAGGAAGAGTAGGGGTTGGTCTTGCTGTCTCAGCAATGTCAGAGGCAGAAGAAAATCCATGTATGGACCCATGAAGTTCCAACATGTGTTGTTCAATGGTCAATTGTATATTTAAGAGATGTCACAGTTCTAATTACCCAACATATATAAACATATATATGCCTGAGTCTCCAGAACCTTTTAAATATATTAGAAATCTGTCTTAAGTGAAGGTAAATAGTAACATAGAACACAGAGCATTCAGCATACAAAACTCGTCACATTAACAGCAGGGTTATACACATAGCACACATCTACTTCCTTCCTTTTCTGACCGAATTTTCACTTCACTACTTTTCCAGATCATTTCCTTTTATCTTTAATCTTTCTTACTTGATTTTAAGAATAGTTCTTAGCAAGGAGTGGGAAGGAGCAAAGATTTTTCCATAATGTCCCAGTAAAAGTGCCTTCTTTTTTTTTTTAGACGAAGTCTTGCTCTGTTGCCCAAGCTGGAGTGCAGTGGTGCAATCTCGACTCACTGCAACCTCTACCTCCCGGGTTCAAGCGATTCTCCTGCCTCAGCCCCCTGAGTAGCTGGGATTACAGGCATGCACCACCACGCCCAGATAATTTTTGTATTTTTAGTAGAGACGGGGTTTCACCATGTTGGTCAGGCTGGTCTCAAACGCCTGACCTCGTGATCCACCCTCCTCGGCCTCCCAAAGTGCTGGGATTACAGGTATGAGCCACTGCGCCCAGCCCAAAAGGGCCCCCATGCCACCCTCAAGGGGAATGACAAGGCCCCCATGCCACCCCCAAGGGGAAGGACAGAGGACACCAATACCAACTCTATAAGAGCAGGAATCATCTGGGCATAAGATAGCTCATGCCTGTCAACCCAGCATTTTGGGAGGCCAAGGCAGGAGGATGACTTGAGCCCAGGAGTTCCAGACCAGCCTGGGCAACACAAGGGGACCCCATCTCTACAAAAAAATTTAAAAAATTTTTTAAATGGTGGCATGTGCCTGTTGTCTCAGCTACTTAGGAGGCAGAGGTGGGAGGATAACTTGAGGCCAGGAGTTCAAGGATGCAATGAGCTGTGATCATGCCATTGCACTACAGCCTAGGTGGCAGAATGAAACCATTACTCAAAAAAAAAAAAAAAAAGCAGAAATCATGGGTGTGTCTTTGTGACACAGTATATCTAGGCCTCTAGGCACATGATAGAAGGGCCTCTTTGAAATGATGTGTTATTATATGCACCTATTTTTATTGTGGAGTTACTGAAATTACTATAGCTACTAAATGAAATATTAGGAGTTCAAACTCACATTTGGATAATTAAAATAAAAGTTAAAATACTGATGAGTTTTTCTATTTTTTTCTTTATTCCAATATGACAATACCTCTAACACTAAAATTAGAGCCCATTTTGCAAATCCCAGGAAATAATCAGAAGACTTCACAGAAAAGAAGAAAATGGTACATAAAAGTGACTTTTGTAAAGAATAAGTGAATTTCACTAATCATCTAATGTTTCTCAATGACAGAGACATTGAATTTCTTATTATCAAAATAACATCATTATCAGAAATGTTATAATATTAAAAAGAATTTCCTAGGAAATACTAATTCATGAATAATTTCTTGTTAATATAGAACAATATTCAATAGTCACTAGATGACATTATGAGATTTCTCCATTTTACAAAAATGTCAAAGTCCTACACATAATGATGAGTTTTTATGATGGAGACATACATAATTCAATGAACAATCTTAAGGTTTTAAATTTCCAAATAAAAGCATGTTATTTTAAAAAGTGTATAGGAATCTATTGTTTTCTTGTCTCCAAAAGGCAGCAAAAGAAACAGTTGTTTAGGAACTTGTGTGGTTTTGGTTCATTATTATTTTTTCCATTGAAATAGGAATTTATCTTTCAAATTATTTTCACAACAAGCTTCCTGAGTAAAGGGGTCATGTGTGTCTTACTGACTGTTATGAAACTCATGAGCAGTGACTCTCATGAGGACATTACAGGGTATTACAGAGTTTGTTTTTATCTTTGTTTTTATGGTCATGTTTATTTGCTTAGTATATTCAGAGGTTACAGCCTCTGTTCTTATAATATTGGTTCTATAATTTTCCACACACAGAATTCTGTATGGCCAGGAACCTGGAGAGTAGATGTGTCTCAGGTGAGCCTTACTTGGATTTCATGTGTCCTTGAAGGAGCAACATGTTACGTGAGAACATGAAAGAGAGGAACCGCATTTGTCTGGAAGGTGAGGAAGTGAAGCCGCCTCCAATGCTGATATACTCCTATCTCAGTCTTATAACTTCCATTGTCTATTCAGTCTATCCTATTGCCTATGTTTAAATAGCTCTTGGAGCACATTGACCAAAAAAAAAAAAATATCAAAATGCATTGTCCTCAAGATTGGCTAAGTACTCATTGTATTAGTTTCCTAGGGCTGTTGTAATAAAATACCACAAACTAGGTGAGTTATAAAAACAGAAATGTATTGACAAATTGTTCTGGAGGATAAAAGTTTGAAGTCAATATGTAAGCATGGCCACACTCCCTCTAAAACCTATAGAATAGAATCTTTCCTTGCCTCTTCTAGCTTCTGGTGTTTGCTGGCACTCCTTGATGTATCCTTGTAGATGCAACTCCCCAGTCTCCAACTGTCATCACGTCAGTCATTGTAAGGACATCAGTCATTGGATTAAAAACTTGCCCTACTCCAGCATGACCTTATCTTAACCAATTACATCTGTAATAACCTATATCCAATACGGTCAAATTCTGAAGCACTGAAGATTAGAATTTCCATATACTTAACTTTTGGAGTGATATGGTTTAGATGTGTCCTCACCCAAATCTCCCGTTGAATTGTAATAATTCCCATGTGTCAAAAGCAGGGCCAGGTGGAGATAATTGAATCATGGAGGCTGTTCCTCCATACTGTTCTTGTAGTGAATTAAGTCTCACAAGATATGATGGTTTTATAAATGGGAGTTCCCTTGCATATGCTCTCTTGCCTGCCACCATGTAAGATGTCATTTTGCTCTTCCTTTATCTTCTGCCATGATTGTGAAGCTCCCCCCAGCCACGTGGATCTGTGAGTCCATTAAACCTCTTTCTTTTATAAATTACCCAGTCTCAGGTATGTCTTTACTAGCAGTGTGAAGAACAGACTAACACATGGAGAAACACAATGCAACCTAAAAAACTCATAAAACTCATTGCCTCTTCCTCCTTGTATAGCCATACTAGCTTTTCCAGCCTCCTTTGCAGACAGGGGCAGCCATAGAAGCCATTCTAGTTAATGGAAAGAGGGTAGAAATTATTGACAACACTTCTCATCTAGACATAAAACCTCACATAGAATCCTCCAAGCTTTCTTTTCTATATCACCTGTATACAAAAGTATGAGTTTTGATTTTTCTATCATAGCATATAATACAGTGGTAATCATCCAGGGCTGTTAGGGGAGCTATTTGTAACTTTTTGCTTCACTATTGTTATCATTAGCTTCAATCTTCCAGAGCACCTCATGTTAACAACATGTCTTTTGGAACTCTAGTCAACACATCCACATTACACCCAGGAATAAGGAGGATGGGGGAAGGACAAAACACCATTTGTAGCTGACTATTTCCTTTGAAGACCTGTCCTGACAGCTCAGAACAATGATTTCTGCTTATATCTGGCTGGCTACCCATATCTACTAGGAAATCCGGGAATAATGTCCAACACTAGAGTTCTGGCTTTTGAGTAAGAAGATGAGAATGTCTATTAGATGAACAGCTACAAGTCTCTTCTATAGAGAAAAAAAAAGTAGCGAAGACTCAAGGGCCTCTTGACTTAGCCCCACAGTCTTAACAAATAGAGCCAAAGATAAACAGACACAGAAGCCCATGTTCCTTTCACTCAGTGGTTCTCACCCAGGGGTGGTTTTGCCTTCTAGGGGACATGTGGCAATGTCTTGAGGCATCTTTGATGCCCTGACTTGGGCAGGGATACTACTGTTACCTAGTCATATCCCTACTATTTCCTTTGAAGACTTGTTCTGGCAGCCCAGACCACTGATTTCTGCTTATATCTCATTGGCTACCCATATGTATAAGAGAATCTGGGAATGATCTCCAACGCTAGAGTTCCGGCTGCCGGGTAAGAAGATGAGAACACCATCTACTTAACATAACACCAGAAGCTATGAGTATAGATCAGGAATGCTGCAAAACACCCTACCAATCACAGGACAGCTCCCACAACAATGCATTTTTGACCCAAAATGTCAGTATGCTAAGGTGAATCCATTCTGCAAACATGGCTCAGGCATCATCTTAGCAAATCCTCTTCTCTTGAGAAGGAAGAGGTGGAGCAAGAAGGACAATAGCCAGAGGTATAGAAACGTGTGCATCTCCTACAGTCAGATCCATATCCAGAAACGCACAAGAGCCAAGTCTATGACCAATCATGATAAAGGCTGCCCCACTACGGAGGAGCTGCAGAGTCAATCCCGCCTGACCACCATGTGGTTACCTCCTCAGTGCTGCTGTTCGGTATGTACATCCTCCGGGCAGTGGTGAGATGGGAGCTCAGTACTGGTCTAAAAAATTATTGTTAATTTGAAGGCCACACTATCAACTAGGCTGAAAATTCAATCCATCATCTATTTCTATCTTAAAGCATACCTAGCTCTGTTGTCCAATATAACAACTCAAGATGACTCTAAACACGAGAAAATCTAAGCACTACATAGTTGCCCCAAATTAGTAAAATATAAACCCCTGACATTAAATTTCAACACAGAGAATAAAAATTCTAAAAATGGAAGCTCCATTTTCTTTTTTCAAAAGTGAGAAAAAGATCCTTAACTAAAATATTTTATCCACTGAGGACATTAAATTCCCAAGTAAATTAAAGTTCCAAAATCTTCTCTGCGTAATTTTGTTATATTTTTTTTTCATTCTAGCCACAACATCCATACTTGGATGCCTAGGTGATTTGCTTTCCTTCTTTATCACCCTCAACAGCCCACACCATCTTCTGCTGGAATGGATGTAGCTCTCTCAGAATCTAATTCCAAATTTCTCATGTGTCCTATATTCTGAAAACTTCAACAACCAAAGGACATCTAGAGGTTATCAAGTACCATTTCCACTTTCACAGCCTTTTATAAAGCACTGGCAGTTCTCCTGGTAGCCTCCCCAATAATTATTAACTCTTTCCTTCTTGTTGGCAAGCATCTGAATTTGTTCCAATATCCAACCTTCTCTATGAAACCGAGTGATTTCGAAGATGTGATTTCGAAGATGTGAATCCAAACCCCAGTCATATTTCTCCTACTGTGTGTTATCATGTCTCTATGTGCTACCTGATTCTGAGGTGGCTGACTTGTAACTATGAGGGGGGCTAACCATTATATTGGTGATGGCTGTGTCAGCAGAGATTCACTCTGAGAAGTAAAACTTGTATGAGTGATATAGAACAGATAATTTATTATAGGAATTAGGCGTTCCTCAATTCTAGGAGAAGCAGGGGAAATAAACATCCAGAAAGGAATTGTTAGAGGATCATAGAGAAGTAATTAACCAGAGATCATAAAAGGGAGCTGGTGAAGAGATCCATGGAAAGTTATTGCTTCTGCATCTGGTGGTGGGTTTGAAGTCACTACAGGTAATCATTTAAAAGGAAAAGCTGGAAGTGAAGTGAGAAAAAGCAAAGCCAACACTGGAATCCACGAAAACAAACTGAAATCTGCATCTGTCTCTCATAGCAACCAAATTTGGTTTTGTGCATGACCTATAGAAGGTCGGGCCCTTCACCAGAGAGATGCACACACATCTGTCCCAAGGCTCAAGGAAGCTGAAGGAGAAGATATCATGAGTGTTGGAGAAGCTGTGTGCCATTCCATGCCAATAATGTGAGCTGGCAGATCAAGACAATGTGCACAACCAAAAGCAGCAGCTTCTAAGTATAGTGGCTGCTGCTTCATCTCTCACATCCAAATCTCATGCAAATTTATCTTGAGGTCAACCCTAGTCTAGAACTACAGAGGAAAAGAAACTCTTAGAAACACACTTCCAACTTCACTAAGTTATTCACAGTACACAATCCACCATGATAGAGGAATAGAGAGAAGGAAAGAAGTTGGGCTCTTGTTTACATCACTGAGCTCTGCACAAGCCAACACTGAGACTTGTTCTATCTCCAGATTTCTTATTTATCAGAAAATATATCTTTCTTATTGAATAAGCTATTTTGAGTTGTGGTCTTCTGTTACTTGTAGCCAAAATCATCCTAACCAATAAACCAATATACTTCATAATATAAAGACACACTGTTACCAGCTACAAACCATAACAGAAATGTAGTATTATCTGGAAGAACAGGAAAAAATAAAGAAATAAAAGAGAAATTACCCTTGCATAATAATTCACCATATACCAATCAATGTTTTAATGTTTGCTGTACACCCTATGAATTTAGAGTCAAATGGAAGAAAGCTCCCAACAAGAAGTGAATCATGATACTATGCTTTCTATATCTTTAGGAGAAGACCATCCATCTGCAATTGCAAAGATCTAAATTGATGTCCCTGTATCAACTAAGATAGATTCTAAGGTTAAGGAAACAAAAAGTTACCTACTGGCCAAGGGCCCAGGGCTCAGCTGGCATGGCAACTCCCTGAATTTCTATAGCAACAAAAAAACCACACTCATGCTGAACTGCCTAACAATAGGAGCTATCAGGCAAAATGTCATACCGTTCCTAACTGATTTACGACCCAGGCCACTACAACTCAGATTGGACAAAGGACCTGCCTTACAAACATTCTTTCTTGATAAACAACCACAGACTGCAAGCCAGTTTTCAGCCAGCTTATGGAGACTGTACACAAGCTGTATTTGCATCCTATAGTTTACCTTTTCATATATCGAGCCAAATTCCACTTCATTTTAATGCTAAAACCACACCCCAAAGTGAGCATGGGATGTATGTTACATATATGTTTATTCATTGTGTATGCACTCAGCTTCCTTCATAAATATGTACAGATATTCCCTCAAACCTGCTGAATATGTATGACTCTATTGTGTAATACAGACCCCATGAGGCATAAAAGCTAATTCCTCCTTTCCCTCTTTGGAGACAGAGCACCTTTGATTCACACCAGGGACTTTCTCTTCCCTACTTGCAAACTGATATCACCAATAAAGCTCTTCTTTCTATTTAGCCATCCTTGTGGTCCGTTGGATGACACACACCTATACATGATTCCTCCTTTATTAGAGGATGGCATTTAAAGTACTCCTGCCTTCTGAAACACAATAATATAAATGTTAAATGGAAGAAACTGAAATCACCAGATTGATCACATGTTTATAACGGGGAACAGCCTATATATTTAAATTACCTTCACTTCTATTTTATTTTGACTCCCTGAGTTTCCAGCACTATAAAGCCAGATGGTGCAGAGGTCTACTTAGAAGCTCTACTTTGAGAAGAGTAATCCAAAACTCTCAGGCAAAATCTATGACTTGGTATTTCTTACAGTTCAGTCCTTTACTCTGTGTTTATATTTCAACCAGGATGATAACTGTATTAGTTCATTCTCACACTGGTATAACTACCTACCTGAAACTGGGTAATTTATAAAGAAAAGAGGCTTAATTGGCTCATGGTACCACAGGCTGTACAGGAAGCATGGCTCAAGAAATTCATAATCATGGCATAAGGTGAAGGGAAAGCAGGCACATTTCACATGCCTGGCAAGAGAGAGGGAGAAGGGGCGAGTGCTACACACTTCTAAACAAACAGATCTGGTGAGCACTCACTATTACCAGAAGAGCAAGGGGGAAGGCCACTGCCATGATCCAATCACCTACCACCAGGAGTCTGCTCCAGCAGTGAGGATCACAATTTGATATAAGATTTCGGTGGCAACACAGAGCCATATTGCTAACCAAAGCATTTTTGTCCTGCTGCCCCAGCCTCCTGCTCTGGTTTCAAAACAGTTCATTGGCACTAGTAAAGGTAAATACGCTCACCCCTTTTTTTGTGAGCATATGTATGCTGTTATGAAAGTTGATCATATGAATTGGATCACTCTTGTTGCACTCAACTGAAAGAGTACCCTGAATAAAAAACATTGTTCCAAGAATGTAGTTTTCTGCAAGCCTGACTGCTGAAACTGCTTATTGTAACCTAAAATCAGTTTTATCTTCTGCTTCCAGGATAACTTGTTACAACCCTAGGACTAATTTTTCCACCACCATTGCTCCCAGTTGAAGCCTGCAAGCCCACCAAAACTTTACTAGTACCAATGAACTATTTCAAAGGGCAATACCTAACATTTACCTTTTTCATAAAACCTCTAACCTTCTCTTTGTTCTTCAGACATACAAAAGACCACCCGGTCTACATGTATACCCCAAATTGCAATTATTTTTCCCAAATAAAACATTAAATTTAGAGATTCATCTTCACATTTTTGTTTTGTCTTTGACACTGCATCATTAGGAAAATTTTTCCTTTGCCCCCATGTTTGATCCAGCCAGAGAGTGGATGTCAACAGACACCTAAACCGAATTGAACTGCAGCAGCTGATGCTTCCGAAGCCATTCCCTTCAAGGGCAAAATGAAGGCTAATGTGTCATTTGTGTGCTCTTTGCCTTGTCTTCCCTTCATGTTTTAATTTTCCCAGTCTTGGGTATTTTTTGCTATTTTAATAGCAACAGAAACATGCATTTCTACCACTTGTTCTCTATTCATGGAAAATTATACAGTATTTAATTTACCTCTATTCTTCCTCTACCCCTTTCAAGCAGATACAACCTAGGTCCTCCTCCAAAAGAAATGTAATCTGTTTCCCTTACTGGCATGCCATCCTTCTCTTTCTGTTTCTCACCCTCCTGAATTGTCTGCAAGAGAAAAACACCCTTTTTTCCCTGAGACTGGGTTTCCTACTAAAGCCCTTTCCTTTTGTCAAATTCTGAAGTTTGAGATTCTTACAGCAAATTTTCCCTCTGCCTAGGAGCAAATTTGATTGCAAGAGCAAAGCTGATGCAGCCATAGAGCTTTTTAATCTCACTGGCTTTTAATTTTATAATATTTTTATTGAGACATTCCCAAGATGAAATACATCCTTTAGAATGAAGCCCCCCAATTTTTTGTTATCTATGCATTGATAAAATATTTTATACCACTGTAATGAACCTGACATATGACTCCAAAGCATAAGTATAATCTGTTCTAAGATCAAAATATGGGATAGGAAAGGGGAAATATAGCATAACAGGGAATGCCCTAGGCTTGGACACAGTTCACAACAAGGTAAAGAGAAGCCTACTTTGGCATGATCAATCATGAGATAATCATTGTCTTAAGATCCTGTATATACCCACTTCCTAAGTTTTGAAAGAGGCTTCCCTATCCCTAAGGAAGCCATCTGACTTTTCCACGTTAGATGCTACCAAAACAATATATAATTAACTGCAGTCAAATATTCCTAGTATACCTTCCCTGATTATAAGGTGAAAAATGTGTTCTTAGCCAATACTATATTCCCGACAATTTATTGCAGTTTTAGGCAATTTGCCTGGATGCTCAAAATAATTCCTTTCTACTTATACTAGCTTTGTTCACATTTAATGTGCCCGGAGATAAAACACAGGAGGAGGCATCTACCAATCAATCTGGAACACCAATTTTCACCAGTTGGTAATTTTCTGCCAAAGTTCTAGAGCATCATAATATATTAAACATTGGAATAAGATGATACTAAATAAGACATTTGCAGGCATCTGTCTCTTTCATCCCACTACCACTCCAAATAGAAAGGCATTAAAGTTTAAGGTGGGGTTGGTAGATTGACCTAGAAATCCCCTCATCCATGGATGCTTAAACCATGTAAATAACTACCACCCTTCCTTTAATTTATCTTAGAGATAATTCTATCTGCAAGCCTCCATGTCTTCATCAGCTGTGGTCAGATGGAGGTCTTAGAACTGTTTCTGGCTCTGGGAAAGTTCTTCTCATCCCCTTGACACTTGACATTTGGAGCCTCTCAACCGTTTTACTTGTTTATTTATTTATTTATTTATTTATTTTGCCTTGGAATTATCAGGACTAATGACATAATGCCATTTTTGTCTGCTTATATTAATTGCTATAAAAATAATCAACTTCTGGAATGAGGGAGTGAAGACCTCGGTGGTGGACTAGTCTCTTGCAAAACAGTAAAAATGCTGAGAAAACTAAAATTAACCATTTTTGAAATCTTAAAATTAAACAAAGCCAGAGAACACACTGAAAAAAACATATATGCAAAACAAATTACTGAACCTTCGTAAGACAGTGGGGTCTTTGACATTTTGACACGTGGCTATTTCCATTTCTCCTCCTTCCCAAGCTCGGTGGCCTGACAGCCTGATGAAAAACAAGCAATCTCAGAGCTAACAGACAAGATTGACCCTGTTTGGTACTCCATTAAAAGCAGCATTTCCACAGCATAGTCAATATTTTGTCTCAACTTCAAGCTACTCACAAAATCTCTATTCCTGGGGTGTTGTGGCTATTTGACTTAACTCGGAGTCCAGCTCAGCTGAAATTCTCAAAAGCCCTACTCCCAGGGCATTGCCAAAACAATAACAATTTACTGACAACATTGCAGCTGCCTTGAGCTGTGAAGTCAGTTGGTGCAAACAAAAGCCTGGCCGTAATTTAAAAGCAGCTCCTGGAAAACAAGGTGAGCATAAGGAAGTTTTAAAAACTTCAGGCCGGGCGCAGTGGCTCTCATGCCTGTAATCCCAGCACTTTGGGAAGCCGAGGCGAGCGGATCACAAGGTCAGGAGATCAAGACCATCCTGGCTAACACGGTGAAACCCCATCTCTACTAAAAATACAAAAAAAAAATTAGCCAGGCATGGTGGCAGGCACCTGTAGTCCCAGCAACTCAGGAGGCTGAGGCAGGAGAATGGCATGAACCCGGGAAGCAGAGCTTGCAGTGAGCCGAGATTGCGCCACTGCACTCCAGCCTGGGTGATAGAATGAGACTCCGGCTCAAAAGAAAAAACAAAAACAAAAACAAAAACAAAAAACTTCAATATATTCCTGGGGATCTAAAAGGATGTTTGCATGTGCAAGGTTGTATATATGCCCAGAAAGACCTGGGAAAGGAAAAGCCTGTCATCACCCCTGCCTGAACTTGGGGTCTTGAGAAGACAGAAACTGAAGGCTAAAATTGTCTTTAAAACTTATGAAATGTGCTTGGAGGCAGAGCAAGATGGTAGAATATAAGGCTCCACCAATTTTTCCTTCCACAAGGACACCAATTTAACAACAATCTACACAGAAAAAAAAAACAACAAAAAAAACACCTTCATAAGAACCAAAATTAGGTGAGCACTCATAGTACCTGGTTTTAACTTCCTATTGCTGAAAGAGGCATTGAAGAGATAGAAAAGGGTCCTGAATTACTGACGCCACTCCTCCCCCACCCCTGGCCATGGCAGGGGGTTGCTGAGAGCATCTCTGGGTGTTGCGGGAGGAGAATATAGCAATTGTGAGGCATTGGACTCAGTGCTGTCCTGTTAGAGCAGAAAGGAAAATCGGACCAAATTCAGCTGACACCCACCCACAAAGGGAGCATGTAAATCAGCCCTACCCAGAGCAGAATCACCTGTCCCAGCAGACAGAACATGAGTTCTCACAAACCTCGCCACTGAAGGTTACATGGTTGTGTGTCTCCAAGTAAACTTGAAAGGAAGTCTAGGCCATAAAAATGGCAACTATTAGGTGAGTCCTAGTGCTGAACTAGGCCCAGAGACAGTGGCCTGATAGGGGGCAAAGATGCACTGAGACATCAGCTGGGGTAGGCAAGGAACTGCTGGTATCACCCCTCCCCTAATCCCAGGCTGCATGGCTCACAGCTCAAAAGAGACACATCCTTTCGCTTGAGGAGAGGAGAGGGAAGAGTGGGGAGGACTTTGTCTTGCATCTTGGATACCAGCTCAGCCACGGCAGGATAGGGCACTGGTCAGAGTTGTAAGGCCCTTGTTCTAGACCCTAGCCCCCAGATGACATTTCTAGACACACCTGGGTCCACAGGGAACCAAATGCCTTGAAAGAAAAGACTCAGTTATGGCAGCACTAATCACCTGCTAACTGAATAACCAGCAGTGATACCCAGGTATTACGTCGAGGGTCTTGGGTGAGCCTCTGAGACTTGCTGGCATCAGGTGAGACTTGGCACATTACTAGCTATGATGGCTATGGGGCAAAACTCCTCCTGCTTGAGAAAAGCAGAGGGACTAGTAAAGGGGACTTAGTCTTGCATTTTAGGTACCAGCATGGCCACAGTGGGGTAGATCACCAAGCGGCCTCTTGGAGTCCTCAATTCCAAGACTTGACCCTTAGATGGCATTTCCGGACCTGTCCTTGACCAGAGGGGAACCTGCTACTCTGATGGGTGAGTCCCAGGCCAGGCAGCATTAACCACAAGCTGATTTAAGAGATCTTGTCCTAGAATAATGTTTAAGAGAGTACTTCAATGAGAAAGAAAAGGATATTAATGAGCAATTAGTAATCACCTGAAGGTATAAAACTCACTGGTAATAGTAAGTACACAGAAAAACACAAAATATTACAACACTGTAACTGTGGTGTGTACACTATGCTCATACTAAGTAGAAAGACGTAACAATGGACCAATCAAAAATAATAACTACAACAAGTTTTTAAGACATAGTCGGTAAAATAAGACATAAATAGAAACAATAAAAAATTAAAAGGTGGGAGGATGAATAGAAGATGCAGAGTTTTTATTAGTTTTCTTTTTGCATGTTTATTTGTTTATGTAAACAGTGCTGTTAACACGTTAAAATAATGGGTTATAAGATAGTATTTGCAAACCTCATGGTAACATCAAACCAAAAAACATACAATGGTATATTAGTCCATTTTCATAGTGCTATAAAGAACTGCCCAAGACTGGGTAAATTACAAAGGAAAGAGGTTTAATTGACTCACAGTTCTGCATGGCTGGGGAGGCCTCAGGAAACTTAGAATCATGGTGGAGAGACATAGGCCCCAATGCAATATAGCTGGAGCTTTCAACACCTCACTTTCAGCATTGGACAGATCTTCCGGAAAGAAACCCAGCAAAGAAACATCAGACTTAATCTACACTACAGACCAAATTGGTCTAATAGATATTTACAGAACATTTAATTCAAGAGCTGCAGAATACACATTCTTTTCATCAGCATATGGATCAATCTCAAGGATAGACTATATGTTAGGTCACAAAACAAGTCTTACAACACTCAAAAAATTTTAAATAATATTAATCATCTTATTTGGTCACAATAAAATAAAACTAGAAATTAAAAACAAGAGGAATTTTGGAAACTATCCAAATACATGAAAATTAAACAATATGCTCCTGAATGACTGGGTGGGTCAGTGAAGAAATTAAGAAGAAATCTGAAAAATTTTTGAAACAAATGATGATGGAAACACAACATACCAAAACCTAAACAGCAAAAGCAGTATTAAGAGGGAAGTTTAGCTATAAGTGCTACATCAAAATAGAGGAAAACCTTCAAATAAACAATCTATCAATGCATCTTAAAGAAGTAGAAAAGCAAGAGTAAACTGAACCAAAATTAGTAGAAGAAAAAATTAATAAAGATCAAAGCATAAATGAAATAAAAAACAATACAAACATCAATGAAACAAAAAGGGTTTTTTAAAAAATATTAAGCAAAATTGACAAATCTTTAGCCAGACTATAAAAAATCAAATCAAAAGGGGTTAAAGACCTAAATCCAAGACTTCAAACCATGAAACTGCTACAAGAAAACATTGGTGATAATCCTCAAGTCATTGGTCTGGGCAAAAATTTATTAAGCGATGCCCCACAAGCACAGGCAACCAAAACAAAATGTTTCACATCAAGTTAAAAAGCTTCTGCACAACAAAAGATACAATGAACAAAGTGAAGAAACAACCCACAGAATGGAAGAATATATTTGCAAACTACCTATCTGACAAGGATTAATAACCAGAATATATAAGGAGCTCAAACAACTCTATAGAAAAACATCTAATAATCCAATCAAAAAATGGACAAAAGATTTGAATAGACATTTCTCAAAAGAAGACATACAAATGGCAAACAGGCATATGAAAAGGTGCTCAATATCACTGATCGTCAGATAAATGCAAATCCAAACTACAATGAGATATCATCTCAGCCACCTCAATTAAAATGGCTTACACCCAGAAGACAGGAAATAACAAATCCAAGGGGATGTGGAGAAAAGGGCACCCTTGTACACAGTCAGTGGGAATGTAAATTAATACAAACACTATGGAGAACAGCTTAGAGATTCCTCAAAAAAACTAAAAACAGAGCTACCATATGATCCAACAATCCCACTACTGGGTATATACCCCCCAAAAAAGAAATCAATATATCGAAGACATATCTGCACACTCATGTTTGTTGCAGCACTGTTCACAATAGCAAAGGTTGGGAAGCAACCTAAGTGTCCATCAACAGATGAATGGGTAAAGGAAATGTGGTACATATACACCATGGAGTACCATTCAGCCATAAAAAAGAATGAGATTCAGTCATTTGCAATAATATGGATGTAACAGATCATATGGTAAGTAAAAAAAAGCCTGGCACAGAAAGACAAACATCACATGTTCTCACTTATTTGTGGGATCTAAAAGTCAAAACAATTGAACTCATGGACATAGAGAGTGAAGAATGGTTACCAGAGACTGGGATAGTATAGAGGGGAGCTGCAGGGGAGGGGAGGAGGGTTAATGGGTTCAAAAAAGTTACAATGAATAAGACCTACTATTCGATAGCACAACAGGATGACTATAGTCAATAATAAGCTAATTGCACATTTGAAATAACTTAGAGTATAATTGGTTTGTAACTCAAAGGATAAATGCTTGAGTGGATGGATACCCCAGTCTCCATGATGTGATTATTTCACATTGCATTCCTGTTTCAAAACATCTCATGTACCCCATAAATATATACACCTACCATGTACCCACAAAAATTAAAATCTTCTACTGATCATTGGCTGACCACTAAATCATACTTGGTATCCTATTGAAATTAACACACTATTAATCTGAATTAAATTATTTTACATTGAAATACTAATTGTAATATCCAGACCAACTTCTAAGAAAATAACAAAAAAATAGTAAAATATGCAACAAAGAAACTAATGTGATATTAAAAACATTACATTAAAAATATCTATTCAATACAAAAGATGACAGTAATCAAGGAGTAGAGAAATAAAAAAGAAGACACAGAAAACAAATAACAAAACAATAGAAATATATTCTAGTATACCAGTAATTTTATTAAATATAAATGGATTAAATATTCTAACTGAAGGAAAGATTAAAGAAAATAAAAATTTAAAATTAAAACCCATGATCTAGAGACACACTTTAGATTCAAAGACCCAAATAAGTTGAATGGGAAAAGACGGAAAGAATTACCACGCTATCACAAAAGGAGTAACAAAAAGATGGGCTTTTAGAATAAGATCAGGCAAAATAGACTTTAAGACAAACATTGTTAAAAGAAACTAATGACATCTTATAATGATAAGAGGATCAAGTCATCAGGAAGAAATAACAATTACAATATATGTATGTACCTAATAACAGTGCCCCAAAATATATGAGGCAAAATATACAGAACTGAAGGAAGAAATAGAAAATTCAACAATAATAGCTGGGGACTTCAATACCTTGCTTTCAGTAATGGATAAAACACATAGGCCAATGATCAACAAGGTAACAAAAGACCTGAACAACACTATAAAACAACTAAACCGAACAGATATTTATAGAACATTTTACCCAACAGAAGAAGCATACACTTTTCCTCAAATCACGTAAAACATTCTTCAAGATAGATTACGTGCTAGCCCATAACACAAGCCTCAATATACTGAAATAATACAGTGTGTTCACTGACCTAAACCAATTAAATTAGAAACCAACAACCTAAGGTTTTGGGAAAATTCAGTTTTAAAAATCAAAAACACACTATTAAATAACCAGTGGGTCAAAGAAGAAATCACAAGAGAAATTAGAAAATATTCTGAAGTAAATGAAAATGAAACACAAAATACCAAAACTTTTGAGATGCAGCATCAGTTATTGAAGGGAAATATATAGATGCTAATGCCAATATCAAAAAGGAAGAAAGATCTTAAATCAGTAATCTCACTTTCCACATTATAAAACTAAAAAAGAAAAGCAAATAAATTCAAAGCAAGCAGAAAGAAGACACAACTTACAGCTGAAATAAATGCAATAGAGCAGAGATGAAAAATCAAGAAAGTTAATGAAGCCAAAAGCTAGTTCATTGACAAGAGCAGCAAAATTGACAAATCTTTACCTTAGGCTGACCAAGAAAAAGAGAGAAGATTCAAATTTCAAAAACCAGAAATGAAGGAAGGAATATACCTACCCCCTTAAAGAATATAAAGGATTATAAGGGAATCCTGGAAACAAATGTTTTTCAAAAAATTAATTAGATAACAGATAAAATGGACCATATCCTGGAGAGACACAAAATACAGGAACAGACACAAGAAGAAATATGTAATTAGAGTAGATTTATGACAAGTAAAGAGATTGTGTTAATAATCTTGAAGCTTTCTATAAAGAAATGCCCAGTTCCAGATTAATTATCCAGAACATTTAAAGAATTAATACCAAGTAAATGTCTTCAACCTGATAAAAAACATCTACCAAAAACCTCACAGCTCACATCATACTTAACAACAGAGGACTGAATGCCTTCCTCCAAAAATAAGAAAGAAGCAAGGCTGTCCACTTTTGCCGCTTTCATTCAACATTGTATTTGAGATTCTAGCCAGGAAATTTAGGCAAGAAAAAGAAAAGTGTGACTGGTGGCTCATGCCTGTAATCCCAGCACTTTGGGACTTTGGGAGGCCGAGGCAGGTGGATCACCTGAGGTCAGGAGTTCAAGCCAAGCCTGGCCAACATGGTGAAACCCTGTCTCTACTTTAAAAAAAAAAAAAAGAAAGAAAGAAATAACATAGTAGAACTATCTCCATTTGCAATGATATGACCTTTCATACAGAAAATACTAAGGAATCCATAGAAAAAATTGTTATAACTTATAAATGAGTGCAACAATGTAGCAAAATATAAGAGAGATATATAATAATAAATTGTATTTCTATATATTAGCAATGGACAATCTGAAAATTAAATTAAGAAAATATAATTTATAGTAGCATCAAAAAGAATAAAATACTTTGGAATACATTTAACAAAAGAAGTGCAAGACTTGTACACTGAAAATACAAAACATTGGTGAAATAAATAGAAGAATATCTAAATAAATGGAAAAATGTCACATATCCATAGAATAATATTGATATGACAATATTCCTTGTTGTGAGTTGAATTGTGTCTTCTCAAAAGACATGTTAAAGTCCTAAACCCGGGCCCCTGTGAATATGACCTAGTACAGTTGTCAAATTCATCTACAGACTCAAAGCAATTGCTATCAAAATTCCAGTTGCCTTTTCTTTGTAGACATAGACATGCTAATCCCAAAATTCACATGAAATTAAATGGGAATCAGAAAAGCCAAAGAAGAATGATGTTGGAGGGCTTGTACTTCCTGAGTTCAAAGTTTACTACAAAAATACAGTAAGCAGAACAGGGTGGTAATGACATAAGAATGTACATATAAAACAATGGATAGAATTAAGAGCCAGAAATAAGCTTTCCCATTTATGGGCAATTGATTCTCAACAGAGTTGGCTGGACAATTCACTGAAGAAAGAATAGTCTTTCCAACAAGTGATACTTGGACAAATCCACATAAACAACGAATTTGGATCTCTATCTCACACTACATCACAAAATTAACAAAAAGTAAATCACACCCAAGCATATGAAATATACCTACCAGAAGAAAAAATTGGAGTAAACCATCATGATGATGGGGTGGGAAATGGCTTCTGAGATAAGACATCAAAATAAAAAGAAGTAAAAGGGGAAAAAAAGATAAATTGGGCATTATAAAAATTAAAAACTTTTGTGCTCCAAAGGACACTATCAAGAAAGTAAAAAGACAAAGTACAGAATGGGAGAAAATATTTGCAAAGCATATATCTGATTAGGTATATGTAGCTAGAATATACAAAGAACCTTTACAATTCAGTAATAAATATATATAACCCAATATTAAAATAAGCAAAATATTTGAATAGACATTTTTCCAAAGAAGATAAACAAATGGCCAGTAAAGACACTAAAAGATGCTGAACATCATTAAATATTAAAGAAATGTACATCAATACTACAATAAGATACCATTTTATACCCAGTATGATGGCTACAATCAGAAAGACAATAACAAGTGTTAGCAAAGATGTGGAGAAAATGAAACCCTCATACAATACTGGTGGGACTGCAAAATGGTTCATGCAGTTTAGAAAATAGTTTCACAATTCCTCAAAATGTTAAGCATAGAGTTACTATTCCTGGCTTAATCATTTCAGTGCTGATCAATGATAAAAACATAACTACAAGATATAACCACAGTAGTAGTAGCACATACAAGCTTTATTTAGGTGGTGTTTTTGACAGGTTTGCATGTGAGTGAAGCCCTGCACGGTATGAAGCTTTTCAAAAGCAAAGGCCTGTGGGCTACCACCAGAAAAGAAGGGTGAGGGAAGCTTTCTAGGGGAGAAGGAGATCAAGAAGATTTGGGTCTAAATAATGTCACTGCGGAGCACTGCAGGGAATTGCTGGATCAGAGAACTCTGCAAGGCAGCAAAAACTTGGAGTCCTTTAAAGCCACAGGGTTTATCTTACCTACAGCTAACAGATATTAGGTACAGTTTTACAAAGTATGCAAAGCAGGCAGTCTCTAAATGGCTAAGTCTGCTGACACGGGTTATATTTAAAACAATTGGATGTATAAAAATTTTACTTTGGCACTAAAGGGCTTTTGACCTAATGGGTGCCTGTTAAGAAGATTTAAACAACAGAAGTTCTGATATGATTTGGCTCTGTATCCGCACCCAAATCTCATCTTGAATTACAATCCCCACATGTCAAGGGAGGGACCTGGTGGGAGGTGAATGGATCATGGAGGTAGTTTTCCCATTGCTATTCTTGTGATACTGAGGGAGTTCTCACTCACAAGATCTGATGGTTTTAAAAGTGGCAGTTTCCCTGCATTCACTCTCTTTCCTGCCACCATGTAAGACGTGCCTTGCTTCCCATTCACCTTCTGCCATGACTATAAGTCTCCAGAGGCCTCCCCAGTCATGCAAAAGTGTAAGTCAATTAAACCTCTTTTGTTTATAAATTACCCAGTCTCAGGGAGGTCTCTACAGCGTGTGAAAATGGACTAATACAGAAATTGGTACCAGGAGTGAGGCACTGCTATAAAGATAACCCAAAAAAGGGGACATGTCTTTGGAACTCAGTAATGGGCAGAGGTTGGAACAGTTTGGAGGGATCAGAAGAAGACAGGAAGGTGTGGGAAAGTTTGGAACTTCTAGAGACTTGTTGAATGGCTTTGACCAAAATGCTGATAGTGATATGGACAATGAAGTCCAGGCTGAGGGTCTCAGATGAAGATGAGGAACTTGTTGGAAAGTGGAGTCAACGGTGACTCTTGCTATGCTTTAGCAAAGAGACTGGCAGCATTTTGCCCATGCCCTAGAGATCCATGGAATTTTGAACTTGAGAGAGATGATTTAGGGTAACTGGCAGAAGAAATTTCTAAGCAGCAGAGCATTCAAGGTGTGACATGATTTTTCCAGAAAGTGTACAGTTATATGTGCTCACAAAAAGATGGTTTGAAATTGGAATATATGTTTAAAAGAGAAGCAGAGTGTAAATGTTTGGAAAATTTACAAACTGACCATGTGATAGAAAAGAAAAACCAATTTTCTGGGAAGGAATTCAAGCAGGCTGCGGAAACTTGCATAAGTAACAAGGAGCTGAATGTTAATAGTCAAGACTATAGGGAAAGTGTCTCCAGCGCATGTCAGAGACCTTTGCAGCAGCCCCTCCCATCACAGGCCCAGAGGCCTAGGAGAGAACAATGGTTTCCTGGGCTGGGCCCAGGGACCCACTGCTCTGTGCAGCCCCAGGATATGGCACCCTGCATCCCAGCTGCTACAGCTGTGGCTAAAAGGAGCCAAGGTACAGCTTTGGACATCGCTTTAGAGGGTGCAAGCCCCAAGCCTTGGTGGCTTCTATGTGGTATTGGGCCTGCACATGTGTAGAAGACAAGAGTTGAGGTTTGGGAACCTCCACCTAGATTTCAGAGGATATATGGAAATGCCTGGATGTTCAGGCAAAAGTCTGCTGCAGAAGTAGTGTCCTCAAGGAGAACCTCTGCTAGGGCAGTGTGAAAGGGAAATGTGGGGTTGGAGCTCCCACATGGAGGCCCCAATGGGGCACTGCACAGCGGAGCTGTGAGAATAGGGCCACTGTCCTCCAGAACCCAGAAAGGTAGATCCACTGACAGCTTGCACTGTGTGCCTGGAAAAGCCACCAACACTCAATGCCAGCCCATGAAAGTAGCCAGGAGTGGGACAGTACTCTGCAAAGCCACAGGGGTGGAGCTTCCCAAGGCTGTGGGAGCCCACCTCTCACATCAGTGTGCCCTGTATGTGAGACATGGAGTCAAAGGAAATTTAATGACTGTCCAGCCAGGTTTCAGAATTGCATGGGGCCTGTGGACCCTTTGTTTTGACCAATTTTTCCCATTTCGAATGGAAACATTTACCCAATGCCTGTACCCCCACTGTATCTTGGAAGTAAGTAACTTGCTTTTGATTTTACAGGCTCATAGGCATAAGGGACTCGCCTTGTCTCAGATGAGACTTTGGACTTGGACTTTTGAGTTAATGCTGGAATGAATTAAGACTTTGGGGGACTTTTGGGAAGGCATGATTGGTTTTGAAATGTAAAAAGGACATGAGATATGGGAGGCGGGAGGGACAGATGATATGGTTTGGTTCTGTGTCCTCACCCAAATCTCTTCTTGAATTTTAATCCCACCTGTTAGGGAGGGCCTGGAAGGGAGGTGATTGGATCATAGAGACAGTTTCCCCCATAATGTTCTTGCAGTAATGTGAAAGTTCTCAAGAGGTCTGAGGATTTTCAAAGTGGCAGTTTCCCCTGCACTCACTCTCTTTCCTGACACCATGTAAGACGTGCTTTGCTTCCCATTTGCCTCCTGCCATGATTGTAAGTTTCCTGAGGCCTTCCCAGCTATGCAGAAGTGTGAGTCAATTAAACTTCTTTTGTTTATAAATTACCCAGTCTCAGGGAGTTCTTCATAGCAGTGTGAAAACAGACTAATACAGGGTCAATATACCCAGTCTATATTTTGCACATTTATATAACATTTACTACATGGCCAATAAATTCCACCACTAGGCATGTACCCAAGAGAAATGAAAACAGATGTCCTCATTAAAATGTATACATAAATGTTCAATGCAGCATTATTCATAATAGCCAAAAAGTGAAAACCATCTAAATGCCCATCAGTTTATGACTGGATAAACAAAATGTGGTATATCCATACTACAAAATATTATTCAGCAAACACAAATAGCAATAACAAAACCTGACATATGCTACAATATAGATGAGCCTTGAAAACATGCTAAGCAATAGAAGCCAGTCACAAAAAAACACGCATTTTATTATTCCATTTACATATTTTCCAAAATAGGCAATTCTACAGAGATAGAAAGTAGATTAGTGCTTGCCTGAGGCTAGAAGGTAGCAGGATATGGAATGATTACTAATGGGTACCAGGTTTCTTTTTTGGAGCAATGAAAACATTTTAAAATTAGATTATGTTAGTGATTGCACAACTCTGTGAATATGCTATATTACAAACCATTTAACTATATATTTTAATAGATAAATGTTATATGTGAATTATATCTCAATAAAGCTATTAAAACTGCCATAGAAAGCCCAGCACTCCAAATTAATCATTCATTTCTTACATTTAACTCACCTTTTGACTTCATAGATGCCCTATTTGACCCCATATCCTATGCCCTTTCCTCACTTGAAACTCCTTCATTGTGCCCCCTGGAACACAAGGTCAGTCATCCGCAAAATCTTTATCCTCATCCTTTTCTCTCAACATTCTCTTCAAGTTCTTGCTCTAACTAAAACTTGCTCTAGAGGAGGCAGTACTTGCCCTCCAACTTTTTCAAATGATTTCTATTTGGTCTTACACATTTCATACTTCAGGACTTGGAGGTGTCTCTATATTATCAATTTTCTCAGATATGTGAATAAAGAATTCTTTTTAAGCATGCACTTTTAAAAGATCACTTCAATATATAGGACTGCCACTAAGATTTACAAGTCCTGGGAATGGATATAAGTCTGAGGGCCCCAGCTCACAGCCACCTTCCATCCTCTTCCCAATCCAGGCTCCACCCCACACAACAAAGGGGCCTTTTATGTACTTGGGTGCACACCATAGCCACATATCCAAGCTCATTCCACCCCATTCCCTTCAAACAGCCATTCTTTTGCTACCCGTGGGGCCTATCATCATCTACCTTTGAGGGGATGGATTCAAGAAACAGGCTCACTTATACGTATTGTGCCCTGTGCCATTCATTTGGAACATTGTTGCTTTCTTCCTTTAGTTTACATAGCTCATTTTTAGGTGATCATAGAGCTTGCTATTATTTGTAGATCTCTTGAGCAATACTACATAAACTAATAATTAGTTTAGCTAAGAAGTAAAATGATTAGTAATGTAAAAATTAACATTTACAGAAATTAACCTAAGGAATGACTGGGGGGTTTGCCAAAATATCAAGTAAATTTTTGTTTCTAAAGCATATTTAATATAGACACAGATTACCAACTCTCTCAGCCCATATACCTTGTGCAGAGGATTGTTCATTCTTTTTGGACTAAATTATAGTCATGGGGAGTGTGTATTTACTACAGTCTTGCCTGATCTTACTCATTGCACTTCCTTGAGTCAAATTTGTCTATAACCAAGCTGAGGAATAGCATTCTGCCTCTTTGGGTTTTGTTTTGTTTTTGAGGGCTTTTTGTTTTGTTATTAAATTGAAGTCCTAAATAAGAAATTATTTGTCCTCTAACAAGGGAGGATGAACTTGCTGACACTTGGCTATGTATTTATTCTTTCTGTAAAAAAATCAAATTTTCTAACTACTATTCCAAAGACTGGTTGTGACTATAATACATTTTTACTAACTTTTTTTGTTGTTGTTGTTGAGACGGAGTCTCGTTCTGTTGCCCAGGCTGGAGTGCAGTGGCACGATCTCAGCTCACTGCAACCTCTGCTTCCCAGGTTCAAGCGATATCCTGCCTCAGCCTCCCTAGTAGCTGGGATTACAGCCGTGTGCCACCATGCCCAGTTAATTTTTGTATTTTTAGTAGAGATGGGGTTTCACCATGTTGGTCAGCCAACCTCGGCCTCCCAATGTGCTGGGATTACAGGCGTGAGCCACCGTGCCCGGCCCATTTTTACTAATTTTTGATACCTAACTTGTATAGGAAGTACTGTTTCTCGTAGGCTTTTTTTTTTTTAACATTTTAAGTGTATTACTTTGAAATCACAGTGTTTTCTCCCTTTGACATGCTAACACTTAGTAAGCACTGCCTTTATGGAAGCAGCTTTTTATAAGCATACTTCACTTTTTGAACCTATCAGTAATTAGCTTAATATAGAAAGACACAAAAAGCTCCATATTGTATCCATTTGGCTCAGGGAGATTCCTTTGCCTTACCTTTCTTAAAACTCCTTACTGCTGATCAAAGTTTAAGCACCCATCCTTTCGTAATAAAATATTGGATGATGATTTATCTGGTTCAAGGAAGAAGCACTATATAGTTATCTATTGAGAAATTATTTTGCAGTAGCTTTAGTGAGACTGTCCCATCTGTACAGTACACAGGCAGGCATTATCACTCTTCACCTACTCTCAAAATAGTGGCAACTTGGCATTCATTCCGGTAATATTGGACCTTGTTTTATAGCTGAATGTATAAAAAAGATTCAAGAGAGGTGAGGTTTGTTCTTTCCAGCGAATGGTGGACCAAGAGATGCAGAGTGGAGGGCTAACAAAGGAAAGAGCTTCATTCTTCAAAACAGAGTGATGAAAAACACATTCTGAAATGCAAAGTATTTTCATTTTTATTTATTCTCTTCATTGTTTTTTATTTATCCAGTGATTACACTTGGCCATTTATCTAGACGTTCAAGGAAGGCAAGTCTATTATGATTATGATGAAGGCAGAATTATTTTTCTCTGTAGAAAGACAGATACTACTTTATTAGGGAAGTTAGTCAAATGCAGTGAAAACTTGCAAATGGATGAATGCTAGTAAAAAGTGATCCTACAACATGCTTTTACCTCAGTGTATGGTTTATGGAAAGATCATAGCTTAAAATCTTGAGAAATTTGGGACATAAAAGTTTTTATGGTAGGCAATTCATGTAGTGTATGAATTAACATAATGGAAAACATCTGATTCTATTTTTAAAACTAACAAATCATTCCCCTTCATTTAAACACCTTGTTTTGTTTTACTTAAATGAGATTGGAGTCTGAATGGAAAGTCTCGTTTTCCAAGGGATTCTGAGAAATTTTCGTATTTAACAGTTGAAAAGCGCTCTACTGTTCTAGTTCATAAAACTCTTTTTTGATGTAGATTTGAATTTTCTATACAGTTCTATTGTCTTCTTTTACTAGGACTGTTAACTTTTGTGATAAAATTCAAATAAGATTTTATTTCTTGGTAATTCTGGCTTTCCAAATTTATCTTTAAACCCTTGAGCAATCTATATATAATTAAGAGATTTCTGACATTTATTCTTAGACTAAGTGAATCAACCCTAGGATTTAGGCATGTTAACTTTACTTGTGTTGTGTTTTTAATCTCTCCAGAGTTACATGTAGATAGCTTTTATTTCTGTGCACTTAAAAATCCCATTTAGAAAATATCTACAAATTAAAATGGAGAGGAAATAGAAATGTATTTTTTCATGAACATTTTGATACACATTTCATCAAGTTTATTGATTCACCAATGTCTTACATCAATTTGAATTAAGCATTCAAAGAGAAGGGAGCATTCATTGTTGATATATATGGGCTTTTAGAAACTCCATCTTTTATAAATAATCAAGTTTGGGCCTCACAAATTATATTTTTATCATGGAAAAAATTTCAACTCCTCAAGGCATAATGTTGAACAGAATTGGATTATTTTCTTTAGAATTTCTTGAAGAGGCAAATGAAAGCTTATTATTGAATACATGTATTTTCTTGGAACATCAACATCAGTATACTGTTAGCAGCTATTGTATTTAAAAATAAAGTATATTTTTACTATCCAAAAAAACAGAAATATATATGAGTGAATTTGTACACTGCAGTGTTTTTTATAATTGCAAAACATCAGAGGAGTATTGTTTTAATTACACAAAGAACCTAAATGCCCCTACACAGGAGAGTGGTTGAGTAAACCTCCATGTGATGTAGTATTACACATATAAAGAAGGATGAGGAAGATCTCTATGAAAGGATACCAAGTGATTCCTGTGATATGATATTAAGTGAAGAAAGTAAAGTGCCCATACTATTGTAGACTACCCTTCATGTAAGAAAAGGGTAGAATAACATAGACATGTATCTGTTCATTTCTGTAAAGAAATGCAAGAAGTATAAACCAGAAACTAAAAAGAGTAGTTACCTATGGAGGGTAGGTGTTAACAGGATGGAAAAATGGAAAAAAGAAACAGGAATGGGTAGTGACAATTCTTTGAATATTCTTGTTTCATAGCTGTAATTCTTAAAACTTCTATAAGGTTTCACATATTATAAAATATCCCAAAACATGTAAACAGTTAAATTCAGCCAGGATGGAGAAAGAAAGACTCAACATAAAATAACGCAGTAACAAATGAGCCTAAATGAATGAATACCTTAATACCACTGAAGATGTTGAGAAAGAAAAGAATTAACCAAACAAAATATCTTTGGAAAACAATATTTTAATTAGACATTGTAAGGCTAAAGACAAAACTCTATACAAAAAAACTGTAATCTAATTAGTAACTTTGTTTCTCACAGGATTTTGGTTTAGCAATTCTAAAGCCATTTTATATTTATGCTAGGATTGAACAAGTAAGTAAATATAGGCGATAATTAGAGCCAAGTTTCTCATTGTTTGGGAACATATTCCTTACAAATAAAGAGTGAGGGAAGACTGGAATGAAATGTGTAGTGTGGGGGTTGGAATTAAAGGTATCAATTTGAAGAGAAGCAGGATACTTTCACAGTGTCAAAGTATCTCCTCCAAGATATTTATGAATTACAAAGTGAAAAGAGAAACTTCACAGTTAAGAAATCCAGCAGACACCACCTTAACCAAGTGATAAAGGTTAACATCACCAGCAGTAAGACATATGAATACCATGTGCCCTTGATATGATATACTAAGAACAGCACAGCCTGTCTGTGACATACCTGGCAACAGTGCCGCACCTCAATCGAATCGTGAGAAAACATTAGACAAAGCTAAGTTGAAGGGCACTCTACAAAGCAGCTGACCAGCACTCTTCAAAAGTGTCAAGGTCATGAAAGACAAGGAAGGGCTGAGAAACAATCATATATTGGAGGAGACTCAGGACAAATAACAACTAAATGCTATTTGAGAACCTGTACTGGATACCAGAATAGAAAAAGGACATTCGTGGAAAAGTTGGTGAAATTTAAATAAGGTCTATAGTTGTGTTTACACTACTGTACCAATGTTAATTTCCTAATTTTGATCATTGTGTTGTGGTGACAAAAGATATTATTAAGGGTAGTTTGAAACTCATTTCCTTAGATACCTGTTGGCTGGTTTATAAATCAGTTTTAAAAGCTAGTCTCCACTTTTATACCCTGATTGATTTCTGGGCTCGTGAGATTTTGAGATCTAGCTCAGAGTCCTGGAAATTTCCTAAAATTCTATGGATGCAAAAGTGGAGAACCAAGTAGCAGCTAATGAGAGGAGAAATGTGAGAATAGCGGTATTATCTGCAAAATTGCATCTGTAATTTAAAGGCACTAAGACAATACACTTCATCCAAATTAATTAACTGTGCTACTGGAACCTGAAAGTCCATCATTCACTATTAACGCTTTTTTATTTTTAAGTCCATCATTAGCTACATGAGCTAGACATAAAGTCTTTTGTTCTTTAATAAAATGTGAGACGAGATAACACATGAACTCATCATCAGCTATTAACACTTCAGTGTGTGTTTATTCATGATGCTCTTTAATGTGAAGACCACGTCCTTAGAATAGAATCCTGTAGGAATAGGGCTCAGGACATTCATGCTTTAGAAAGTGAAGGATACAGGGACTGTGCTCAAACATCAACTCACTTGGATGGTATCTGACCCCGTCTGGACTAGGTGGCCGTCAAGTGCTACACTCAGCCTCCTGGGATTTATATGCTGTAGCATTTAAGCGCTGTCACCCTCTGTCTCCCTGACTCCCTGGTGGCAGAATTTTTCCTCCATTTTAAAAATTTTATTTTTAGAACCTAGGATGATGCCTAATAGTTACAAGATATACAATATTACATTGTCAAATGATCAAGGGAAACATTTCATAGTCCTTAATCTTTCTAGTATAAAACATCAAACAAATTTCATGTAGAATATCTCTTGGTAGCTATTAATATTGTGAAATTGTCTTTGTTTTAAACACATTCACACATTATGATTAATGTATTTTAAGCATATTTATGTGAGCCATCTTTACAAATTCAATAATTCCTTTTCTAGTAAACACTAAAACCTATTAAATCAATAACATTGATTTATGTATATATATATTGATTCATAACCTAAATATATTTATATTTTATACACATTTATTTGCATGCTGTAAAATATAAAATTTAGATATATTTTTCTGTAACTTAATAGGTATCTTGGCAATTCAGAAAACAAATTTCTGCTCCAGAGCTGCTCTGACTCAGGCATCTGTTTCCTTTAGGTGTCTGGTTGAGAAAGTACTCAGAGGGTAGAGGATACTTGAGCAGGGTAGAGACCCATTAGACAATTTTGTGTGGAGGTCAATACAGGAGGTAAATTGTCTACTTTGGTTAGAAGGTGCCTGGTTTATTCACTGAGACTTGATTACAACAAAAGATAGAGTCACACAGATTGGAGTGATTTGGAAAGTAAAAGAAAATGACAAATATTCAGTCTAAACTTCCAGCTACTACTCAAGAGAGCATTAGGAAATATAAACAAGAAGACCTTCAAATAGGAAGAGCTTTACACAAAGTTCTTTTAAAAATAGATTTCTGGGATGGGCGTGGTGGCTCATGCCTGTAATCCTAGCACTTTGGGAGGGCAAGACAGGTGGATCACCTGAGGTCAGGAGTTCGAAACCAGCCTGGCCAACATGACAAAACCTCATCTCTACTAAAAATACAAAAATTAGTCGGGTGTGGTGGCGGGTGCCTGTAATCCCAGCTACTCAGGAGGCTGAGGCAGGAGAACTGCTTGAACCCGGGAGGTGGCGGTTGCAGTGAGCTGAGATCCTACCACTGCACTCCAGCCTGGGTGGCACAGTCTTGACTCCATCTCAAAAAAAAAAAAAAAAAGGAATTTCCTACTTCTATCATCAAATATTCAGGTATAAAATAGTTAAGTTGGTTAAATTTGCAAATCCCTATCTTTCCACTCAGTTAGCTGTAAGACCATACAAATTTAAATATCTTATGTGTTGGCTTTCAGCAAGGAAATATGAAACTGAGTATACAGCGTTCTTCTCAGCCACCAGCCTATTGTTCAGTGACACTTCCCTGAACTGTGTTAGACATGATAAAGGTTGCAAAGAACACTGCATAGCCTCATCCATGCTCATGGTAAGGAAAAGACTGAATGTATAGCAACAAAGAATACAAACCCATATGGGAGTTAAATTCCATCACAGTCAAGCAATTGTCACCTATGCTTATCCATGCACTTTATTCACCAGGACAGAAGCAATGAGGGGCTAAAAAAACAGATGCTCAAATGTTCAAGTCTAAGCTTCACGCCAACCTCCTCTAAAAAAATTCTCCCTCTCAAAAAGTTTGCTTAACTATCTCATCCAGTTCCCTTTATTATCAGCCCCCTTTAATTTCCACCATCCCTTTATCTTTCCACATAATTATTTTATCTATGAATATTTGATGACAGTTTGCAAGAAATCCATTTTCAAAAGCTCTTTTCAGAATATGCCTCTGAGTTTAATAATCTTAATGGGGTAAGCCTATTTTTAAGCTGAATAGCTCAAAGCCTTATTATCAATTCAAGTATGCTTATTTATTTATTTGGAATCACATTTCAGCAAGAAGAGTCTCTTAGAGGCCTTTCCTCATTTTTCTGAGCTGTAATTGCAATATTTCCGATGCTGAAAACTAAAATCAAGTTTAAATAATTTTGGAAGTGTAACTTTTTTCTAGCATAATTTTTTTATTTCATATCATTATAGAATGTAACCCCAAATGCTGCATCCTTATACAGATAAAGTAATTGTTGGGTGTAGCATTGCTATTGCATTTAAAAGAGCTTATGTCCATAAATGAAGATACCTTCTAGGATGTAAATTGTTCTTTTAAAAATGCAACAATTTTTTAAGATGTACTTAGCTGTATATAGCCAACAAAATTGAGTACAGTGGCTCTTTTTGTGCCTTTGTACAATAGACCATAACATTCTGAGACAAAGTCAAAGGGCAGGAGGAAGGGTTGGAAGATGAGAGAATGGAGGGTAGTTGGTAGAGGATATTAAGGGGAGGTAAGGTCTGAAATCAAAAGACAGGAAGACCTGAACAGTGAGTTGTAGGAGCTCTCAGATAACTGTGGAAAACATACACATAAATCCTTGTAGTATGAGGTAAACTCCATATATAGAACAGGCTACCCAGTGCATGTGAGGCATGTTGCATATTCTTTTCCTAATCAAACCTGCCTTTTCTTCTTTTCACTTATGCCTGCTGTGAAGATTCAGAGTCACCACAGACTCTGCCTTGCTTCTCACTCCGGATCCCACACCCGCATCTCCAGTTGTTTCAACTGGGCTTCTTTAGACAGCTGCGCATTTTACAGCCCATGCCCTATGCTGGTTCTTTGAATTTATTTGTCTTCTCTAAGCCTGAATTTGTATCACATGTACAACCTTACAAAAAAGAAGCATCTCCCTCCAAAGAAATTTACAAGAAATGAAAGAGAATAAAGTGGGAAGCAAAAAGTAGCATCATAAGAAGTCACCTTGAAGAAATAAATGGCAGTTGAAATGAAATGAGCAAAGGATATACTGGCTCTTGATGTACAGGATGCTCCCACCAAGTGTCAGGAGTTCCATTATACAGGATCACGTGTCTTTCTTTATGACTCCAATCCTATTACTTAACTTTGCAATAGGGAATATTAAAGTCATCGTAAAACTCTAAGTGCTACTTAGATTGAGTTTAAGATTTAAGAATTCATGGACAGGCAATACTTGGAATATTTAATTATACCCATGTCTCAGAATGTAAATATTTAGACCTTGTTATACAAATAATGTCAGAACCACATTGTAAGTTGAATACCATTCCTTCTTCTTTTCTACTCCATATCTGTTGGGAGACTCTACAGTAGACACTGGGAGACCAAAACTCCCACTACAACAACTAGAAAAAAACAAATGAGGTACAATAGTCATATTTTTAAAGGTATCAGAGATCTGTAGAAGTCACAAAGGTTAGATAAATTAAAATTTCAGTAAGCAGAGAATCTCTTGAATGTGAGCTATATGCATCTGCCAGAAAAACAGAACCCATAAGAGATAGATGCATTAAGAGATTTGTTACAGGAATTATCTTACACAATTGTGTGATGGGCTAATCAAGTCTGAAATTCATAGGGCAAGTGGTCAGGAAAGGAACTCACAAGAACTCCAAATAGAACTCCATGGGTCGAAGCTAAAGCTGTTGTATATGGGAGAATTATTTGTTCTCTTGGGAAAGCCTCAGTTCTGCTTCTAAGGCTTTCGGCTGGTTATGTCAGGCCCACCTGGATTATCCAGAATTATCTTCCTTATTCAAAGTCAACTGATTAGGTACTTTAATTACATCTGCAAAATCTTATCACAACACCTAGTAGTGTTGACTGAAAGACTGGAGACTGCAGCCTGCTCAAGTTGATACATTAAAAAAAAAACCAACATAGTCTGTCCCTTGTTAACTTTGCACTCTGCTAATAGTGCATGTGAATCATTATTCGACCCATGCTGCAATCACTTCTTACTCCACAGGACTGAAGCACAAGAAGATTCTCCCAAATCCCCTCAAAGGGTGGGTGACTTTAAGTAATTGGCAATACTTGGAGCCTGTCCAGAATCTGCTATTCTCTTAGCTCAAGAAGCACAGTCTTGATTGTCCCCATAGTAGAGGCCATAAAAGTTTTAAGTGTTTATGATTTATAATATTATAGGTATTTGTGATATAGTTCTGTGCCTATCTCTTCATTTTGAGGATTTCCCTTAAGATATAGGAAGGCCAATTTATCTACCTCACTTAATTTCATATAAATATATTGGGGAAATATCCTTTCAAATGGATAAAGAGGTTTCTTTTTCTCTTCAAAGATGACACAGAATATTTTTCCTAGAGAAAATTTACCTGGTGTTCTCCACCAACCATTACATGTTTTTGGACCATCCCCTGTTTTCTGCTGAAACTGCTCCAGTACTAAGTTTATATTAAAAAATATCTGTATAACCCAAAGCCAAATCTCTCAGAAAATGTCTTTCAAGGTTGTCAAATGAAGTAGAATCTGAGGGGGAAAAGGGCTTCCATCATTTATTTCCTTTGGGTATACATTTATTGAATATTCTGATGTCCATTTTGTCAATGTAGAGGCAGTCCACAAGATCATTTCCAGCTGAATAACTCAGGCTGCCTGGTATTGATCCACACTTCCTCCTGAGATCTGCACACCTGGCAGTGAGCCATGCAGACCGCTAAGTCAGAGGCACTGTCTCAGCCATTGGCAAAGGGAATGACTCAGCTGTGCATCAACCATGAGCTGGGTTTAATGAACATTGAAGCAGAAAATTTACCATCTGGCTGGCCACATGCATGCAGTGTCAAGCAAAACTCCATCAGCAGCACTCATTGCAGCTGAACTATAGCAAACCTGGTTGCACGCAGAGCCGGCACCGCATCATCTACACCAAACCCTGTGCTTAGCCCTGCAGTCTGTACAGCTCCACTTAACAATGACTCCACGGAGCAGCCCAGTTTGCAGTAGCAGGAGCCTCCATCAGCACCAGTAAAGGCCAGTCTCAATCTCACAGGCCTTCAGAACCCCCTCACACAGAGGATATACCCCCATGTTGAAAGACTGAACAGGTGTGCATCCAATTTCCTCATCTATCTGCCCTCACAATGAACCCCAGGTTTTGATATGCTCCAAAAGTGCATGCTCAAGAAGGGGATCACCTAAAATGGTAGGCACTTGATTTACTAAATCCAGATGACGAAGACATCTGTCTTCCTTACCCCTTGGAAGCCAACTTTTTAAAGGCACAGGACCTACTCTCCATTGGTGTTCTGATGCTAAAACTAGCCAGATCTGGCATTAAGTTTGGAGGCCGCCTTCACCCTCACTCACACAACAGACTCTGAGCCATCTGCTTCCAGAGAAAGATAGCTTTTCAAGTGACCGGGGGTACCCTAAAATAGTCAAGATCCCTTCACTGGAGCCGTCTAGCAGCTGGAGGCCTGAAGATCAGGCTAGATTGGAGTATTTGTAAACAGTCAGACTTACCTGGTCTACCTTGTTTCTAAAATCAGCAGCCGAGAAGGAGCAGAGGAAGGATGGAGCATGCAAAGTGGCACAGCTGGATAGTGATGGTCTATCCAGGGTGAGCAGACCCTGCCACTCGAAATACCCAAGGGCAACTGCAATGCCCACCACAGCTAGGGGGATCCATAGGAAACGAGCAGCTTGCGTGGAGAGCTACCACTGGCGCCTGGTCAAAGACCCCATCCCCACTTGTCTAAAGTCTCAGTCCACTGCATTTATCCCTCATGCCAAGTCTCCAACTTCCCCTCAAAGTTCCAAAGCTATTACCAGATCAACTTGTTGCTGGAGGGCTCAAGAGGCTCTGTGGATGCCAGTGTGATCCCAGGAGAGTCTCTGCATGCCAGTGAGACCCCAGCCCAGCTAGTTTCCAGATTCTTGACACAATCACAAGAAACAATTCAGAGATGAGTCAGAAGGAGGTGAAAGGCAGGAAGCTTTTATTGTAAAGCGAAAGTACACACTGAAGAGAGAAGTCCAGGCATGCTTGTGAGAACAAGTCATGCATACAAAGCTTGACTTTCTAATTTTATGAGTGTTTCTTTAACTGAAATGTGGAATAATCATTAGATGTTCTGGAAAAGGAGATGATTTCAGGGATGTGCCTGCACTCCTACCGCCCCTTTCTCCCCTATTTGGGTTTGCCTGGAAGAGTCATGGACATGTCACACGACCAGGATTTTGGCCATTTTCTCTCCTTATTTTGGATTTTCTGTTATCCTGTGGTTTCTTTGCCTAGTTTCTGTTTTAGCTGTTGTTTGAGGTTTTCCATTTTCCTGTAACTACCCAGTGCCATTTCTATCTCATGTGGACACAAATGGGGACATTCTCTTCCCTGAGAGGTCATTATCTCCATAAATTGCTCTTCTGCCCTAACAGCTCCACCCTTTCATGCCCTAGCATATGCCCAGAAGTATGTTCTAAGGCCACACCTAAAACATAGGCATCTATTGATTCTGCTCAGTGATTGGGAGGATGGGGTGTCTCTAACCATTATTTCATTTGTTCCACAATCCCGATCTAAACCACATTGTCATTCTGGTCATTCTGGCCAATGCTGCCAACTGCACCAAAGTAACAAAGAAATAAAGGTTCAGCCAGGTTCTCAGATTATCAAGAGTAACACATCAGACCCAGTTAACGTTATTTTCATCAGGGATAAATGATGCTATGAATCCATTTCGCCCCCCTGGTGCTTTCCTTGTTCTTCTTGGAGGTGTATCCAAAAGCTGGTGATTTCAGCAGCTTATATAGAATGGGAAATCTTCGAGGTGAGAGAAGCCTGGAATTGTGGGCTTAGTGACCATACACTATTTTAAACTTTCTTGGGAGAGATGAGTGAGACAGTGACCTCAAGAATTATTCTATTATCCTAAAACAAAATTTATAGTTGCACTATAGTTATAAACACCTTCTAGGTGAGGCACAGTGGCTGACACCTGTAATTCTAGTACTTTGGGAGGCTGAGGCAGGAGGAAGCTCAAGGCCAGAAGTTTGAGACCAGGCTGGAGAACACAGCAAGACTCCATCTCTACATAAAAAAAAAAAAAGGTAAAAATTAGCTGGGTATAGTTGTGCATGCCTGTAGTCTCAGCTATTTGGGAGGATGAGGTGGAAGGATCGCTTGAGCCGAGTAGTTCAAGGCTACAATGAGCTGTGATTGTACCAATGCACTCCAGCCTGACCAACAGAGCAAGATACTGTCTCTAAAAATAAAATAATTTTTTTCTTAAACTTCTTTACTTCTGTATTTTATTTCTTGCTGTGTCATTGGCTTACTTAAGGATTTGATGTATCAGTATGGGTTATGATTTGCCTTGTGGATGATTCTTTTTGTGTTATTTTTCTATACTTACAAATCTTTTTACATGCTATTTAATGAAAAAGATCATATAATGGAGAAAAGTAAGTTATTATTTAAATTTTATGCTTGACGGACATAGGGACAATAAAAGTACTTTTCAGAGTAACAAAAATGTTCAATATCTTGAAAGATATATTAGTGTCACAGGTATATGTATTTGCCAAAACTCATCGAATTGTACACTGAAGATCTGTGCATTTCCAATCGGAAAGTACTTAATGCAACAGAACTGTGTACTTAGAAAAGGTTTAAATGGCAATTTGTACATTATGCATTTTTAACCATAGTAAAAAATAGATCTGTGCATTTCACCATATGAAAATATATCTTAAAAGAAAGATATTTTAAAATCCTATCCTTGTGTTAATTGACCATCTGCAGAACGTAAGTGATTGTATATTATACACACTACTTCCAATCCATGCTGTCTGAACTCTGCCTGTGATATGGGATTTTTATCCTTTCAAGGTGTATTCTTTTCCTGTTCCATTCATTCAGGCACCCTACTAGCTGCCTGGCACTGCTTTCAGAGAAGAGTACCTTCAGGGAACCACTTCTGATGCTTCTTTCACCACTTCTAAGGATTGTATAGCTGCCCGGAAGTCCAGGCAGCAGTTTCTTTCCACAGCCACACTTAAGTGATGGAATGAGGACCCCATGCCATGCTCAGTAATGACTGTGGCCTTGGAGAAGGAAGTGTGCAGCTGTTCAGCTGACAAGTGTGAGATAACCTGACAATGAGTTACTGAAAAGCCTGCTCTCATAAAGGCTACCACAGCAAGGCAGTAACCAGTAAAGCTTTTGTGGTTTTTCATTTCTCACCTCAAGAAAAAAAAACATATATATATCGATCTTTTTGTAGAAAAAAATGTGTACATTGAATACAAAAATGCCTTTGTCAAATGAGAATGTTTTCAACAGGAGTTCACAACAGATAAGGCAACAAGTTAACAGTCTCAGAGTAAAAGAACAAGGGGAGGTCTACCTAGGAAAAAAATTGATATGGTTTGGCTGTGTCCCCACCCAATTCTCATCTTGAATTGTTACTCTCACAATTCCCATGTGTCATGGGAGGAACCTGGCGGGCAGTAATTGAATCATGGGGGCAGGTCTTTCCCATGCTGTTCTCCTGATAGTGAATAAGTCTCACGAGGTCTGATGATTTTAAAAATGGAAGTTTTCCTGCACAAGTTCTCTCTCTCTCTCTGCCTGCCACCATTCATCTAAGATGTGACTTGCTTCTTTTTCTTTTCTGCCTTGATTGTGAGTCCTCCCCAGCCATGTGGAACTGGGAGTCCATTAAACCTCTTTTGCTTCCCAGTCTCAGTTATGTCTTTATCAGCAGCATGAAAATGGACTAATACAGTAAATTGGTACCAGTAGAGTGGGGCACTGCAGAAAAGATACCCAAAAATATGAAAGCTACTTTGCAGCTGAGTAACAGGCAGAGTTTGGGACAGTTTGCAGAGCTCAGAAGAAGACAGGAACATGTGGGAAAGTTTGGAACTTCTTAGAGACTTCTTAAATGGCTTTGACAAAAATGCTGATAGTGATATGAACAATAAGGTCCAGGCTGAGGTGGTCTCAGATGGAAATGAGGAACTCATTGGGAAATGGGGCAAAGGTGATTCTTGTTATGTTCTAGCAAAGAGACTGGTGGCATTTTGCCCCTGCCCTAGAGATTTGCAGAACTTTTAACTTGAGAGAAATGATTAAGGGTATCTAGTGGAAAAAATTTCTAAGCAACAAAGCATTCAAGAGGTGACTTGGGTGCTGCTAAAAGCATTTAGATTTAAAAGGGAAGCAGAGCATAAAAGTTGGAAAATTTGCAGCCTGACAATGCAATAGAAAAGAAAATCCCATTTTCTAAGGAGAAATTAAAGCTGGCTACAGAAATGTGCATAAGTAACAAGGAGCTGAATGTTAATCTCCAAGAAAATGGGGAAAATGTCTCCAGAGCATGTCAGAGGTCTTCATGGCAGTCCCTCCTATAACAGGCCTGTAAGCCTAGGAGGAAAAAGTGGTTTCCTAGATTGGCCCAAGGGTCCCTGGGCTGTGTGCAGTCTAGGAACTTGGTGTCCTGTGTCCCAGCCACTCCGGCCATGACTAAAAGGGGCCAAGGTACAGCTTGTGCTGTGGCTTCAGAGGGTGCAAGCCCAAAGCCTTGGCAGCTTCCATATCGTGTTGAGCCTGCAGGTGCACAGAAGTCAAGAATTGAGGTTTGGGAACCTCCACCTAGATTTCAGAGGATGTATGGAAACACCTGGATGTCCAGGCAGAAGTCTGCTGCAAGGATGGGGCTCTCATGAAGAACCTCTGTAGGGCAGTGCAGAAGGGAAATGTGAGGTAGGAACCCCCACACAGAGTCCCTACTGGGGGTACCACCTAGTAGAACTGTGAGAAGAAGGCCACCATCCTCCAGACCCCAGAATGTTAGATCAACCTACAGCTTGCACTATGCACTTGGAAAAGCCTCAGACACTTAAAACCAGCCCATGAAAGCAGCCAGGAGGGAGGCTGTACTCTGCAAAGCCACAGGGTTGGAGCTGCCAATGACCATGGGAACCCACCTCTTGCTTCAGCATCAAGATCATTTTGGAGCTTTAAGATTTGACTGCCCTGCTGGATTCTGGACTTGCATGGGGCCTGTAGCCTTTGTTTTGGCCAATTTCTCCCATTGAAATAGCTGTATTTACCCAATGCCTGTACCCCCATTGTATCTGGAAAGTAACTCACTTGCTTTTGATTTTACAGGATCATAGGTGGAAGGGACTTGCCTTGTCTCAGATTAGACTTTGAACTGTGGACTTCTGAGTTAATGCTGAAATGAGTTAAGACTTCGGGGGACTGTTGGGAAGGCATGATTGGTTTGAAATGTAAAAAGAACATAAGGTTTGGGAGGGGCCGGGGACAGAATGATATGGCTTGGCCCCAGGGACAGAATGATATGGCTTGGCTGTGTCCCCACCTAAATCTCTTGAATTGTAACTCCCACAGTTCCCACATGTTGTGGGAGAAACCTGGTGGGAGGTAACTGAATCATGGGAGTGAGTCTTTCCCATGCTGTTCTCATGACAGTGAATAAGTCACATGAGATCTGATGGTTTTAAAAATGGGAGTTTCCCTGCATAAGCTCTCTCTCTCTTTGCCTCTTGCCATCCATGTAAGACATGACTTGCTCCTCCTTGCCTTCTGCCATGATTGTGAGGCCTCCCCAGCCATGTGGAACTGGAAGTCCATTAAGCCTCTTTTTCTTCCCAGTCTATGTCTTTATCAGCAGCATGAGAATGGACTAATACAAAAATGTTTTGGTTCTTTACTTTGTTTTCATTCAAATGCACTGGTATGTGTTCAAGTGAAGCCCTAGATTTCTAGCAGATATCATTTCTGAAGCCTTTAAATTTATCAGCTTTGATAGTGCTGGTTATGTTTAAAGTAATTTTTTTTCCTACATGAATTCAGTTGGTTGAGTCCTCTAAAATGATTCTCAGTGTCATACTCTGGTCCAGCATCTGGTCTGTATATCCTAAAACTGAAATTCTTCACTGATATAATATTTTTCAAAAAGAAAAAAAAATCAATTCTGTAGAAAAGTAGAATGCATACACTATAAAAACAAACGTCATTTTTAACCTGGGTCTTCTGATGTGAAAGTTTAAATTCACTGGCAAACACAAGTTCTCAGAAAAAAAAATGCAGATTAAAAAAATGAAGCTAAATTTTACCAGATTAAATTGTTTAAGAGTTGGCTTTAGGTTTTAAGATTTAGGACACCTAAAATTAATAAAAGAAAGAATAAAATAGAGCAAAGGTGTCTTAGCAAACTACATTTAAAAAGACTAAGAGGTTTTAGTTGACTATGAGTTCATATAAATAAACAGTGGTATAACATTGTTTTATACATATTAAATTAAAGAAATTGACAGAGGTGAGTCTCAATAATTTTAGAGGTTTATTTTGCTAAGTTGAGGACATGCTGAGGAAAAAGGAACACAAAATCACAGGCAATATCTGTGATTCATGCTTTTTCCAAAAAGGGTTCAGGGACTTCTGTATTTAAAGAGGAAAGAGCAGGCAGTAGGGAAAAGAGAAAGAAAAAATGGGGGCAAGGGTAGATAAAGGTGGCAAGCAGTTGCATTCTTTTGAGTCTTTGATCAGCTTTCTCTGAATTCACATTTTACATGTGAACGGAGAGATAAAGAAATAGCCAATTATGCATTCATCTTGTGCTCAGTGAATCTGCATTTTTACATAAGACAAAGTAAACATAGAGGAGAGGAAACAGTCAAATATGCATTTGTCTCAGGTGAGCAGATGGATGACTTCTAGTTTTGTCCTTTGTTCCATACCTGTGAACATAAGCTATTAATTTACTTTGTCAGGATGAAATTCAACACAACTGTTACAAGGTAAAGATCTTGGGGTCAGGCTGGGCACAGTGGCTCATGCTTGCAATCCCAGTGCTTTGGGAGGCTGAGGTCAGAAGATCGCTTGAGGCCAAGAGTTTGAGATCAGCCTGGGGAACACAGTGAGACTCCATCTCCATAAATATATATATATATATATATATATATATATATATATATATATATATATATATACACACACACACACACACACACACACACACATATATGTATACACACATATGTATATATATGTGTATATATATACACACATATATATACACATATATATACATATGTATATGTATATACATATATATATATAGAGAGAGAGAGAGAGAGCCAGGCATATTGGCAAGTGCCTGTAGTCCTAGCTACTCAGGAGGCTGAGGAGGTAGGGTTGTTGCTGGAGCCCAGGAGTTAGAGACTGCAGTGAGCTATGATTGTACCACTGTACTCTAGCCTGGGTGACAGAGTAAGACCTCTGTCTCTTATTTATATATCTTGGGGCCCACAAGGAATTTACTTGTGAGCAAACTGTGAGAGACGTATGTAGCCTTTTATCTTTGTAGCTATCTATTTAGGAAAAAATGGGAGGCAGCTTTGCATGACTCAGTTCCCAAGCTTGACTTTTCCCTTTGACATAGGGAGTCTGGGGCCCTAAGATTTTATTTTCCTTTCTAGATAGATAGATAAGCTTTTTTTTTTCAAATTACACAAAATAATTCTACAGTAACTGCATAATCTTTCATAATTTATAAGGAAGGTTCTTCTCATACTTTCCTCTGTTTAGATGATACTTGGAGAATGACATCTATTTCTGGAATTACATTCATTTTAAGAAAGATATAAACTAAACAAAAATACATTTCAAACAGAGTAACCAGAATTCTGAAGGCTCTAAAATTAAGTCATGTGAGGAACTATTGAAGGCATTGTTTCTTTCCTTGAACAAAAAAAGACAAAAGGGTGCATATTTTGTTATATTCACACATCTTAAGGGAAGATACTAGAGGATAGATTAGAACTATTTACATTGTATTAAGATATGAACCAGTATGACAACATTAAAAGGCAAAATGTAATATAAAAGACTGACACAGAAGGCACTAAATTCCCCTTTAGAAAGATAGTCATACATGTAGACCACAATTATATTAAACTGAAGGACAATTTTTCTTGATATAGAACTTCAGATAGACAGTTTGGGGATGGGGGATTCTTTTTAAAGGGGTAATTTAATTTCTGTATTACATTATTTCTTAATAGATAGCGATCATTCTTAATGTTGTTTTAGTATATATGCCTTTTTTCCTCTAGATAATTTTAAGATTTTCTCCCTATCTTTGGTTTTTATAAATTTGACTATAATGTACCTAGGTGTATAATTATTTGTATTCATCCTGATTGAGGTTAATTGGGCTCTTTAGGTGTGTGAGTTTAGAGTTTTCATCAAAATTAGAAATTTATCAGATATTTTTTCAAATAATTTTTTCTGCTACAATTTTTTCCCTCTTTTCTCTTCTGGGGACTCCAAAAACATGTTTTTTATACTGTTTGTTATTTTGTACTAGTTATTGAGTTGCTCTCTCTCTCTCTCTCTCTCTCTCTCTGGGTGTGTGTGAGAGAGAGATAGAGATTCAGCACAAATGAATTTCTAATGAATTTCTAATGTTATAATCACCCAGCAAGTTCTTCCTGCCTGCTGCACAGACAAAACCAGTTCACTGAGACTGTGGTATTGCAGTAAAGAAAGAGTTTACATGCCTGTAATCCCAGCACTTTGGGAGGCTGAGGTGGGCAGATCACAAGGTCAAGAGATTGAGACCACCCTGGCTAACATGGTGAAACCCCGTCTCTACTAAAAATACAAAAATTAGTTGGGTGTGGTGGTGTGTGTCTGTAATCCCAGCTACTCGGGAGGCTGAGGCAAGAGAATTGCTTGAACCCAGGAGGCAGAGGTTGCAGTGAGCCGATATTGCACCACTGCCTTCCAGCCTGGCAACAATGCAAGGCTTCGTCAAAAAAGAAACAAACAAAGAAAGAAAGAGTTTAATTAACACAAGGCCAACCACATGGAAGAACTGGAGAACTCACTCAAATCTGTCTCACTGAAAACTCAGAGATTAGAGTTTTTCAAGAATAGTTTGGCAGTCAGAGGACAGTGCATGTGTGCTGCTGATTGGTAAAGAATGCAATCATAGAGGTGTGGAAAACAGTCCTTGTGCACTAAGTCCACCTCTAAGTGGGGGCCACAGGACTAGTTGAGTCAGGAGTCATGAGTCTGTGTGGGATCAGTCTGAAAAACATCTCAAAAGACCAATCTTAGGTTCTACAATAGTGATGTTATCTACAGGAGCAACTGGGAAGTCACAAATCTTGTGACCTCTGGCCACATGACTCCTGACAGTAAGGGTTTATAGAAACTATGTCTACATTTAGCAGAGTTTAGGCCCCTCCCATAATCCTAATCTTGTGGCCTTTTATTCCTCTTACAAAGGCAGTTTCAGGGCCTGAACAAGGAAGAGATCAGTTTTAGGGAGGGACTATTACCCTTAATTCAAAATTAAACTATAAACTGATTCTTCCCATAGTTAGCTTCACTTATGCCCAGGAATAAGTGAGGACAGCCAGCCTGTGAGGCTAGAAGCAAAATGGTGTCAGCCATGCCAGATTTCTCTCTTTGTTATATTTGCAAAGACAGTTTCAATGTCATGTCTTCGAGTTAATGTATTTTTTTATTCTGCAGTGTCAGATCTCCCATTAATCCTATCCAGTGAATTTTTATTTCTAGAATTTCCATTTGATTTTTTTTGTAATTTTCATCTCTCTGGTGGGATTCTCTGTAGAATTACTCATCATATCCATATTTTCCTTTAAATACTTTAATATGTTTGCAATAGCTATTTTGAAGTCCTTTCATAACAATTTCAAAAATCTCTATTATTTGATTGACCTATTGGGTCTATTCAATTGACTGTCTTCTGATTATGAATGTCATTTTCTTGTTTTTCTCATGCCTAATATTTTTTATTAGATGCTGTACATTATAGATGCTACATTTTTGAGAGTCTGGATTTCCTTTTCTTCCTTTAAAGGATGTTTTGTTTTCTTCTGGAAGGTGGTTCATTACTAATAGGTCAGCTGATTCACGTCAAGGCTTGGTTTTACCCTTTCCAAAGCAGGTCTAGAAGAGCCCTTACCTGAATCAGTGCTATCTAAAAGAAATTTCTATGATAATGGAAATGTTTTTTATCTGCACTTTTTTTAATATCATAGCTACTATCCACATGACTATGGATTATTTAAAATATAGCTACTGTGACCAAATAACTGTGTTTTAAATTTTATTTCATTTTCATTCATTTAAATTAAAATAGCCAATTGTATCTAGAAGCTAACCATATTGGAGAGGACAGCCTTAAGCTAAGCTTGCATAACCCAACTCCTGAGGCACAACCTTTCTGTGGTTGCAAATAAATGTTTCATAAGTTAAGTATCATTTCTTCACTCCGACTCACAGGAAGTATGTCCTCTTGTGTCCTGTTTAGCTCACCGTTCTCCTGTAGCTATTGTCTGACCAATTCTTTGAAATTTCATTTTTATACATAGACTTAGTATTCAGCCAAAGATTCAAGGGATCCTTTGTACAGATTTTTGGAGCTTTGCCTCTGCATAGTTCGCTCTTTTTTATCCCGTCCCAAAAATTCTAGCAACTTCAAAATCCCTGAGCTTCAATCTGTATTTTTTCTCTATTCAGTGACACCTATTGATCTCTACCTAGGCTCTACTTCTCAGTTGTGTGTTATGGGAACTGCCCCAGGCAAAAAGCTGGAGTGAATGTGAACCTCACCTCATGCTTTTCCCTTCCCTGGGAGGATTACAGCCACACCCTGTCTATTGTTCAGTGCTGCAAACAGTTGCTTCACACCTTTTTGTCCATTTTTATAAAAGTTTACTTTGTGAGGGTAAATACTAAATCCAGTCATGACCTGATTCAGAAATAAAAGATTCCTTTCTTTTCTATGTGTTTGGTTTTTTATTATATAAAGCTTTTACATGATTGCAAATTTAAAGCAATATAACAAGGTACAAACCCATAAATGTCATTTCCAAACGTGCTCCCCTCTGTTCCATTCCTTACCCACCCCCATAACTGAACATGCTATTAGCATTAGTTTTACATGACATTACTGTGTGTGTGTGTATTCATACCCCGCTTTCTTGTGTAAAAGAAAGCTTACTATAAATATTTCTCTGTACATTATTATATTTGTTTAAAAATTGATTTTGGACAGCACTAATTGCATAGTTCTTATGTATTTGCCATTTTTTATTCAAACAATCTTTTTTGAATGACACTTCAGTTATTTTCAGTTTTGTGCTATTACAAATAATGCTGTGTACATTAGTCATTGCCAGTGTATTATTGAGAGAGATTCCAAGAAGTAGGATTTCTGAGTCAAAGGAAAAATCTCTTCATTTTACACTTTTATCTCTCTACAATTTTATGTGATACATACAATGTACTCTGTATAAACTGTATTATTTGCAGTTAGAAACCATTTTCTCTCTTATGGGTCTTGGTATGTGTTAGTTAATCTACTTAACATTATCTTTCTCCATCCTCTTCCCAGCACAAATTTCTTGAACTTCTTTGAAATGAATTCCTTGTGACTTCTTTGAAATGAATTCTTTGGGACTTCATTAAAGATATGACTTCTCCATAGAGGCATTCTCCAACATTCATCTCTCCACCACACACAGACACACACACGCCACACCATACCACACATACAGCACACACAGCACACACACAAAACATACATATCACACATACACCACACATGTACCACACATCTATACCACACATATACACCACACACATACACCACACACACACACCACAAATACATACATCACACACCACATACACACACACACAACCTATATACCACACACCACATATAGACCACACATACACACACACACACACTATATGTACACCACACACCACACACACAGCACACATACACCACATGCATAACACACACACACCACAAACAGACACAGAGCTATGTGGGCGCCTATCTGTTTCTGTCTCCCTCTTGTTTGTATTCATGTTGCTGTCTCTTTCTATTAACTTGCTTTCTTCTAAAATGTCATTTTCTAAGACGGTCTCTTCTCTTTTTCTATAAGTTTAAGATAGTTGCCTGGTAAGCAAAGCCATACTCTAACATTTCTTTAATGAATGCTATTTATGATCATAAAGTTACCATGAACACTGTCGTATTCTTTTTTTTTTTAAGATTTTCCTTATTCTTCAGCTGTTCTATAAAGATTTCATGTTCTGTACTTTCTAAGAAATAAGTGTTTTGTTCACTTGCTGTCCTTTGATCTTGTATGTAAATAAAATAACTTTCATAATGATAAGTCAGAGTGGCTAAGTGTCTCCTTTCTTTCATTTGTGAAATCCACATGAAAAAATCAGTGGACTGGAAGATCCATATTCATCTCCAAACACCAGAACCAACGTAAATGCAGAAAGAAATGGAGAAATGGTGTGTGTTGGGAAACGAACTAGTGTTGTAAATGTCTCTGTGCCACATAGGAGTTTAAGAAAGGTGAAAAGCCCTGCTAATGAAGAAAATAACAACCCTCAATGAAGAGAGAAATAGTAGGATGAACAATGAAAATGAGAAACAGCAAAATGAATAGTGGAAAATAGTAAATCATATCTGTGTAAGCACAATTAGTGATAAATTAGTTTGGAATTTGATCATAATGCCCTTGGGGGAAAATTGTTCTTAGTGAAAAAAAAAAAAAAACCTTCAAAAAATTTATGAGAGAAAACTGTAGGTAGAGGTTGGTGATTAGCCATTACCCACTTTTGGACAGGGAAGGCATTGGATGATTAAAATACAACAAAATAGGTTAGACTTTAGAGATCAATATCCTCGATTCTATGGGATTTATGACATTGATTAATTTATTGGAGAAGGCTGGGGAATCTATATATTAAAGAAAAATCTTTTGAAATAGTATATCATCAATAATAATTAAAAGAGTGAGGAACTACACAGGAATGGGTAGACAGATCAGTGTAACAGATTAGAAAATTCAGAACAAGATACATAGATACATATGTGAGTTAGTATATGATAAAGGTATTACTTCAACTACTGGGAATTTATCTAATAGAAATAAGAATGTACACAAATGTTTGGTTATGGGGATATTTATAGTAGCACTGTATATAATAGCAAAAAACTTTTTTTTTTTTTTTTTTGAGTCGGAGTCTCGCTCTGTCGCCAAGGCTGGAGTGCAATGGCACAATCTTGGCTGACTGCAACCTCTACCTCCCGGGTTCAAGTAATTCTCCTGCCTCAGCCTCCTGAGTAGCTGGGATTACAGCAGCATGCCACCACGCCCAGCTAATTTTTGTATTTTTAGTAGAGACGGGGTTTCACCATGTTGGTCAGGCTGGTCTTGAACTCCTGAGCTCATGATCCACCTGCCTTGGCCTCTCAAAGTGCTGGGATTACAGGCATGAGCCACTGCACTCGGTCTAAAAAATATTTTTTTTACTATTTTAGTGTATCTGAACAATTAAAATGCTAGAATCTATTAAAATTATTTCTTTAAAAGCATACTCAATGACATGAGGAAATGTGGTATAAAATGGATTTCAGTGAATAAAATGCATCACAAATAGCACATATGGAATGCTGGTATTTTGAAAAAATTTGTACCCATACATAGTAAAAGTCTTCTAAACACATATATAAAACAACATTTGGAAATGTACACTCTGAAATGATATCCATTGTTCTTGGTGGTGGGATTATAGGCATTTTTTTTCCTTCTTTGTTTCTTAATTTTGGGCTCTTAATGAATAATAATATTAAAATGTAGTCATAATATTATTTTCAATGAATTAGACTACTCCTAGTCTAATTGCATTGAGCAATAATGAACAGTCTTACTGTCAATACGTTGTTTGAAATAAAATAAACAACTTTAAATCTTTCCTATAGGCACAATGAAGGAGGATGAATTCTTCCCTCTCACCCTCTCCCACACTGAGTCTGTTTAGATGTTAATAAACTGTGACCAAGTAGATGTGATTGATCAGTCTGGTAAACATCCTTTACAACAGTTTGTACCGGCTGGCTAAATACTCATAGAATTAACTCAACTGTTAAAAGCAAATCAGAAAGATTGAGAAATTTCTCTTAGAGTTTATTCTATGGCATTTAAAACTATAACTGCCAGGGTTATATAGACATGAACCCCAGTGGCTTCATAGCACCACATAAACACATGGCAAAATTATAACATGCCATTTAGGATGAAACCTACTACTTCTTTTACTCATATGGAAACAGTTTTAAGCCACTGAAGGTTAGGTAATAAGACAAAGTTCCTACATCGGACACTTACAATTGTATCCTGCTGATTCTCAAAGCAGAACAAAGGAATTTAACAAGCTCAAAAAGACCCAAAATCTAAACAGCCCCTACTGTGAGTTGAAAAATAAACTGTAATTGCTGTTTGTTTTAAATTTGTATTGAAGGGTATGTGGGAACTCTTTTCAGAGAGGAAAAATAATGTAAATTTTTACCCTCATTCAATTTCTTTGGCTGCTACTGTATTATTTGAAAGTATTCATCATAAATTTTATATATCATTTAATAACATTTCAAAATTGCAACTTTTATTTAACCCTCAACTGTTTTGTTGCAAAGCTTGTGAGTTATTGTAATATAAAAACAGAGATTCTAATGTGCCTCATATCACTGGGGGTAAATACGTTCTTACATTCTTTCAGTACTGGCCACATGACAATCTATCCCCCACCAACATCTACACAGTGAGAGGATTTGAGACAGGACCTCATAAGTAAGTGTAATGAATACCTGTTGAGATATCTTCAGATGGCTGCTCTGCAGACTTGGCATAACAGGCCATGAAGCCTCCCAAGACCAACAGACAAAGTCCCAGATGTCCATAAGCATGCCAATTATCAAAGAAACAGAAAATCGGAGAATGATTACAAATAACAAGACGAATGTCCAGCTTTGTCAGTTTGCTCATCCGTGGGATAAAGAAATCTGTATGTCAACATTTTTCATTTGTTAACACAATGCCCCCATTGTTACAGGCAGATATGAACTCCTCCAATGACTTATCCCTGGAGCTGCAGTCTAATATGATTGAATTATTTTCATAAATAGCTTGTTCATATATTTTCTGCATCAATTTAAGATGTATACCTGAAGAGATAGCTAAGCAATTTCCCCAAACTGAATTTCTATAATTCTAAAGGAAAAGATTTTTGGCAGTAAGCCCATGATTGACCTTCTTACCTCCTGTCATCCTTCACTGAAGAGAGGACACTATCAGTATCAAGAGCATGCATTCTGGAGCAACCAGGGGTGAGTCCTAGAGCTACTATTTACTGATGGTATAACATTGCACAGAATACCTGATATTTATGCATCTCAGTTGCTCATTTGTAAAGTGAGGACAAGTATAATAAATACCTCATAAAGTTATTGCATTATAAGAGATAACAAAGTGCTAAGCACAAATAATAAATATTAACAATTATTGCTGATGTTAATGGTATAATATTTCTACTACTATCATTAACATTCAGCCCTGCATATCCATGGGTTCCACCTCCATGGATTCAACCAAACACAAATCAAAAATATTTTTTGAAAAGTATTTGTACTAACCACTGCTCAAGGAAATAAGAGAGGACACAAACAAGTGGAAAAAAATTCCATGCTCATGGACACGAAGAATCAATATCAAGAAAATTGCCATACTGCCCAAAGTAATTTATAGATTCAATGCTATTCCAATCAAGCTACCAGTGACTTTCTCCACAGAACTAGAAAAAAATACTTTAAATTTCATATGGAACCAAAAAAGAGCCCATATAGCCAAGACAATCCTAAGCAAAAAGAACAAAACTGGAGGCATCATGCTACCTGACTTCAAACTATACTACAACTCTACAGTAACAAAAGCAGCATTTTGTTACTGGTACCAAAACAGATATATAAACCAATGGAACAGAACAGAAGCCTCAGAAATAATGCCACACATATACAACAATCTGATCTTTGATAAACCTGACAAAAAGAAGCAATTGGGAAAGGATTCCCTATTTAATACATGGTGTTGGGAAAACTGGTAGCCATATGCAGAAAACTGAAACTGGACCCCTTCCTTACACCTTATACAAAAATTAACTTAAGATGGATTAAAGACTTAAACATAAGACTTAAAACCATAAAAACCCTAGAAGAAAACCTAGACAACACCATCAGGACATAGGCATGGGCAAAGACTTCATGACTAAAACACCAAAAGCAATGGCAACAAAAGACAAAAGAGACAAATAGGATCTAATTAAACTAAAGAGGTTCTGCACAGCAAAAGAAACTATCATCACAGTAAACAGGCAACCCACAGAATGGGAGAAAAATTTTGCAATCTATCCATCTGACAAAGATCTAATATCCAGAATCTACAAGGAACTCAAACAAATTTACAAAAAAAAAAACAAACAACCCCATCAAAAAGTGGGCGAAGGACATGAACAGACACTTCTCAAAGAAGACATTTATGTGGCCAATAAACATGAAAAAAAACTCGTCATCACTGGTCATGAGGAAAAAACCACAATGAGATATCATCTCACACCAGCAGGAATGGAGATCATTAAAAAGTCAGGAAACAACAGATGCTGGAGAGGATGTGGAGAAATAGGACCGCTTTTACACTGTTGGTGGGAGTGTAAATTAGTTCAACAATTATGGAAGACAATGTGGTGATTCCTCAAGGATCTAGAACCAGAAATACCATTTGACCCAGCAATTGCATTACTGGGTATATACCCAATGGATCATAAATCATTCTACTATAAAGATATATGCACATGTATGTTTATTGCAGCACTATTCACAATAGCAAAGACTTGGAACAAACCCAAATGCCCATCAATGATAGAATGGATAAAGAAAATGTAGCACATATACACCATCGAATACTATGCAGCCATAAAAAAGAATGAGTTCATATCCTTTGCAGGGATATGAATGACGCTGGAAACCATCATTCTCAGCAAACTAACACAGGAACAGAAAACCAAACACTGCATGTTCTCACTCATAAGTGGGAGTTGAACAATGAGAACACAGGGACACAGGGAGGGGAATATCACACACTGGGTCCTGTTGGGAGTTGGGGGCAAGCGGAGGGAGAGCATTAGGACACATACCTAATGCATGCGGGGCTTAAAACCTAGATGATGGGTTGATGGATTCAGCAAACCACCATGGCACATGTATACCTATGTAACAAACCTGCAAGTTCTGCACATGTATCCCAGAACTTAAAGTATATATTTTTTAAAAGTCTTTGTAGTAAACATGTACAGACATTTTTTCTTGTCATTTTTCCCCAAACGATACAGTATAACAACTATTTACATGTCATTTACATTATGTTAGGTATAAGTAATCTAGAAATAATTTAAAGTAGGCAAGAGGATATACATAGGTTATATGCAAATTTTTTATAACAGTGACTTGAGCATCTGTCAATTTTGTTTTATGGTTTGTTTTTTTGTTTTCATAAGTTATTGGGGTACAGATGGCATTTGGTTACATGAGTAAGTTCTTTAGTGGTGATTTGTGAGATTTTGGTGCACCCATCACCAGAGCAGTATACACTGCACCATATTTGTAGTGTTTTATCCTTTTCCCCTCTCCCCTCTTCTCCCCAAGTCCCCAAAGTCCACTGAATCATTCTTACGCATTTGCCTCCTCATAGCTTAGCTCCCACATATCAATGAGAACATACAATGTTTGTTTTTCCATTCCTGAGTTACTTCACTTAAAATAATAGTCCCCAATCTCATCCAGGTCATTGCAAATGCTATTAATTAATTCCTTTTTATGGCTGAGAAATATTCCGTCATACAAATATACAACAGTTTCTTTATCTACTTATTGATGGATGGGCATTTGAGTTGGTTCCAGGATTTTGCAATTGTGAATTGCACTACTATAAACATGCGTGTGCGAGTATCTTTTTCAAATAACGACTTCTTTTCCTCTGGGTAGATACCCAGTAGTGGGATTGCTGGATGAAATGGTAGTTCTATTGTTAGTTTTTAAGGAATCTCCACACTGTTTTCCATGGTGGCTGTACTAGTTTACATTCCCACCAGCAGTACAGAAGTGTTCCCTGATCACCACATTCGTGCCAACATATACTGTTTTTTGATTTTTTTATTATGGCCAATGTTGCAGGAGTTAGGTGGTATCACATTGTGGTTTTGATTTGCATTTCCCTGATCATTAGTGATGTTGAGCATTTTTTCATGTGTTTGTTGGCCATTTGTACATCTTCTTTTGAGAATTGTCTGTTCGTGTCCTTAGCCCGCTTTTTGATGGGATTGGTTTTTTGTTACTGATTTGTTTGAGTTCATTGCAGATTCTGGATATTAGTCCTTTGTCAGATGTATAGATTATAAAGATTTTCTCCCACTCTGTGGGTTACCTATTTACTCTGCTCACTGTTTCTTTTGCCATGCAAAACTCTTTAGTTTGATTAGGTCCCAGTTATTTATCTTTGTTTTAACTGCATTTGATTTTGGGTTCTTGGTCATTAAATCCTTGCCTAAGCCAAGGACTAGGAGGGTTTTTCCAATGTTATCTTCTAGGGTTTTTATAGTTTCAGGTCTTAGGTTTAAGTTATTAATTCATCTTGAGTTGATTTTTTTTAAGGTGAGAGATGAGGATCCAGTTTCATTCTCCTATATGTGGTTAGCCAATTATCCCAGCATCATTTGTTGAAAAAGGTGTCCTTTCCCCACTTTATGTTTTTGTTTGCTTTGTCAAAGATCAGTTGGCTGTATGTATTTGGGTTTATTTCTGGGCTCTCTATTCTGTTCCATTGGTCTATGTGCCTAATTTTATACCAGTAACATACTGTTTTGGTGACTATGGCTTTATAGTATAGTTTGAAATCAGGTAGTTGATGCCTCCAGATTTGTTCTTTTTGCTTAGTCTTGCTTTGGTTATGTGGGCTCTTTTTTGGTTCCACATGAATTTTAGGATTTTTTTTCCAATTGGTGAAGAATGATGGTGGTATTTTGCTGGGAATTGCATTGAATTTGTAGATTGCTTTTGGTAGTACAGTCATTTTCACAATATTGATTCTACCCATCCATGAGCATGGGATGGGTTTCCATTTGTTTGTGTCATCCATGTTTTCTTTCAGCACTGTTTTGTAGTTTTCCTTGTAGAGGTCTTTCAACTCCTTGGTTAGGTATATTCCTAAGTTTTTTTTTTTGGGTTTTTTTTTTTTTTTGCAGCTATTGTAAAGGGGGTTCAGTTCTTGATTTGCTTTTCTGCTTGGTCATTGTTGGTGTGTAGAAGAGCTACTGATTTGTGTACATTACTCTTGTATCTGGAAACTTTGCTGAATTCTTTTATCAGTTCTAGGAGCTTTCTGGAGGAGTCCTTAGGGTTTTCGAGGTAAACAATCATATCATCAGCAAACAGTGACAGTGTGACTTCCTTTTTACCAATTTGGATGTCCTTTATTTCTTTCTCTTATCTGATTGCTCTGGCTAGGACTTCAAGTACTAAGTTGAAGACAAGTGGTAAGAGCAGGCATCCTTATCTGTTCCAGTTCTCAGAGGGAATGCTTTCAACTTTTCCCGATTCAGTATGATGTTGGCTAAGGGTTCGTTATAGGTGGCTTTTATTACATTAAGATATGTCCCTTGTATGCCAGTTTTGCTGAGAGTTTTAATCATAAAGCGATGCTAGATTTTGTCAAATGCTTTTTCTGCATCTATTGAGATGATCATGTGATTTTTGTTTTTAATTCTGGTTATGTGATGTATCACATTTATTGACTTGTGTACGTTAAATCATCCCTGCATCCCTGGTATGAAACTCACTTGATCATGGTGGATTATCTTTTTGATATGTTGCTGGATTTAGTTAGCTAGTATTTTGTTAAGGATTTTAGCATCTATGTTCATCAAGGATATCGGTCTGTAGTTTTCTTTTCTGGTTATGCCCTTTCCTGGTTTTGGTATTAGGGTGATGCTGGCTTCATAGAATGAATTAGGGAGGGTTCCTTCTTTTTCTATCTTGTGGAATAGTGTCAAAAAGATTGGTACCAATTATTTGAATGTCTGGTAGAATTCTGCTGTGAATCCATCTGGTCCTGGCCTTTTTTTTTTTTTTTTTTTTGGTAATTTTTTAATTACCATTTCGAGCCAAGATGGCCAAAAAGGAACAGCTCCGGTCTACAGCTCCTAGCGTGAGCGACACAGAAGACGGGTGATCTCTGCAGTTTCCATCTGAGGTACCGGGTTCATCTCACTAGGGAGTGCCAGAGAGTGGGCGCAGGACAGTGGGTGCAGCGCACCATGCGCGAGCCAAAGCAGGGCGAGGCATTGCCTCACTCGGGAAGCACAAGGGGTCAGGGAGTTCCCTTTCCTAGTCAAAGAAAGGGGTGACAGACGGCACCTGGAAAATCAGGTGACTCCCACCCTAATACTGCGCTTTTCCAACGGGCTTAAAAAACAGCGCACCAGGAGATTATATCCCACACCTGGCTCGGAGGGTCCTACACCCACGGAGTCTCACTGATTACTAGCACAGCAGTCTGAGATCAAACTGCAAGGCGGCAGCGAGGCTGGGGGAGGGGCACCCGCCATTGCCCAGGCTTGCTTAGGTAAACAAAGCAGCCAGGAAGCTCGAACTGGGTGGAGCCCACCACAGCTCAAGGAGGCCTGCCTGCCTCTGTAGGCTCCACCTTTGGGGGCAGGGCACAGACAAACAAAAAGACAGCAGTAACCTCTGCAGACTTAAATGTCCCTGTCTGACAGCTTTGAAGAGAGCAGTGGGTCTCCCAGCATGCAGCTGGAGATCTGAGAACAGGCAGACTGCCTCCTCATGTGGGTCCCTGACCCTTGACCCCCGAGCAGTCTAATTGGGAGGCACCCCCCAGTAGGGGAAGACTGACACCTCCCACGGCCGGGTACTCCTCTGAGACAAAACTTCCAGAGGAATGATCAGACAGCAGCATTCGCGGTTCATGAAAGCCCACTGTTCTGCAGCCACCGCTGCTGGTACCCAGGCAAACAGCGTCTGGAGTGGACCTCTAGCAAACTCCAACAGACCTGCAGCTGAGGGTCCTGTCTGTTAGAAGGAAAACTAACAAACAGAAAGGACATCCACACCAAAAACCCATCTGTACATCACCATCATCAAAGACCAAAAGTAGATAAAACCACAAAGATGGGGAAAAAACAGAGCAGAAAAACTGGAAACTCTAAAAAGCAGAGCGCCTCTCCTCCTCCAAAGGAACGCAGATCCTCACCAGCAATGGAACAAAGCTGGATGGAGAATGACTTTGACGAGTTGAGAGAAGAAGGCTTCAGACGATCAAACTACTCCGAGCTACAGGAGGAAATTCAAACCAAAGGCAAAGAAGTTGAAAACTTTGAAAAAAATTTAGACGAATGTATAACTAGAATAACCAATACAGAGAAGTGCTTAAAGGAGCTGATGGAGCTGAAAGCCAAGGCTCGAGAACTACGTGAAGAATGCAGAAACCTCAGGAGCCGATGCGATCAACTGGAAGAAAGGGTATCAGTGATGGAAGATGAAATGAATGAAATGAAGCGAGAAGGGAAGTTTAGAGAAAAAAGAATAAAAAGAAACAAACAAAGCCTCCAAGAAATATGGGACTATGTGAAAAGACCAAATCTATGTCTGATTGGTGTATCTGAAAGTGACAGGGAGAATGGAACCAAGTTGGAAAACACTCTGCAGGATATTATCCAGGAGAACTTCCCCAATCTAGTAAGGCAGGCCAACATTCAGATTCAGGAAATACAGAGAATGCCACAAAGATACTCCTCGAGAAGAGCAACTCCAAGACACATAATTGTCAGATTCACCAAAGCTGAACTGAAGGAAAACATGTTAAGGGCAGGCAGAGAGAAAGGTCGGGTTACCACAAAGGGAAGCCCATCAGACTAACAGCGGATCTCTTGGCAGAAACTCTACAAGGCAGAAGAGAGTGGGGGCCAATATTCAACATTCTTAAAGAAAAGAATTTTCAACGCAGAATTTCATATCCAGCCAAACTAAGCTTCATAAGTGAAGGAGAAATAAAATACTTTACAGACAAGCAAATGCTGAGAGATTTTGTCACCACCAGGCCTGCCCTAAAAGAGCTCCTGAAGGAAGCACTAAACATGGAAAGGAACAACCGATACCAGCCACTGCAAAATCATGCCAAAATGTAAAGACCATCGAGGCTAGGAAGAAACTGCATCAACTAACGAGCAAAATAACCAGCTAACGTCATAATGACAGGATCAAATTCACACATAACAATATTAACTTTAAATGTAAATGGACTAAATTCTCCAATTAAAAGACACAGACTGGCAAATAGGATAAAGAGTCAAGTCCCATCAGTGTGCTCTATTCAGGAAACCCATCTCACATGCAGAGACACACATAGGCTCAAAATAAAAGGATGGAGGAAGATCTACCAAGCAAATGGAAAACAAAAAAAGGCAGAGGTTGCAATCCTAGTCTCTGATAAAACAGACTTTAAACCAACAAAGATCAAAAGAGACAAAGAAGGCCATTACATAATGGTAAAGGGATCAATTCAACAAGAAGAGCTAACTATCCTAAATATATATGCACCCAGTACAGGAGCACCCAGATTCATAAAGCAAGTCCTCAGTGACCTACAAAGAGACTTAGACTCCCACACAATAATAATGGGAGACTTTAACACCCCACTGTCAACAGTAGACAGATCAACGAGACAGAAAGTTAACAAGGATACCCAGGAATTGAACTCAGCTCTGTACCAAGTGGACCTAATAGATATCTACAGAACTCTCCACCCCAAATCAACAGAATATACATTTTTTTTCAGCACCACACCACACCTATTCCAAAATTGACCACATAGTTGGAAGTAAAGCTCTCCTCAGCAAATGTAAAAGATCAGACATTATAACAAACTGTCTCTCAGACCACAGTGCAATCAAACTAGAAGTCAGGATTAAGAAACTCACTCAAAACCGCTCAACTACATGGAAACTGAACAACCTGCTCCTGAGTGACTACTGAGTACATAACGAAATGAAGGCAGAAATAAAGATGTTCTTTGAAACCAACGAGAACAAAGACACAACATACCAGAATCTCTGGGACACATTTAAAGCAGTGTGTAGAGGGAAATTTATAGCACTAAATACCCACAAGAGAAAGCAGGAAAGATCCAAAATTGACACCCTAATATCACAATTTAAAAAACTAGAAAAGCAAGAGCAAACACATTCAAAAGCTAGGAGAAGGCAAGAAATAACTAAAATCAGAGCAGAACTGAAGGAAATCGAGACACAAAAAACCCTTCAAAAAATTAATGAATCCAGGAGCTGGTTTTTTGAAAGGATCAAGAAAATTGATAGACCGCTAGCAAGACTAATAAAGAAAAAAAGAGAGAAGAATCAAATAGACGCAATAAAAAATGATAAAGGGGATATCACCACCGATCCCACAGAAATACAAACTACCATCAGAGAATACTACAAACACCTCTACCCAAATAAACTAGAAAATCTTGAAGAAATGGATAAATTCCTCGACACATACACCCTCCCAAGACTAAACCAGGAAGAAGTTGAATCTCTGAATAGACCAATAACAGGCTCTGAAATTGTGGCAATAATCAAAAGCTTACCAACCAAAAAGAGTCCAGGACCAGATGGATTCACAGCCGAATTCTACCAGAGGTACAAGGAGGAACTGGTACCATTCCTTCTGAAACTATTCCAATCAACAGAAAAAGAGGGAATCCTCCCTAATTCATTTTATAAGGCCAGCATCATCCTGATACCAAAGCCGGGCAGAGACACAACCAAAAAAGAGAATTTTAGACCAATATCCTTGATGAACATTGATGCAAAAATCCTCAATAGAATACTGGCAAACCGAATCCAGCAGCACATCAAAAAGCTTATCCACCATGATCAAGTGGGCTTCATCCCTGGGATGCAAGGCTGGTTCAATATACGCAAATCAATCAATGTAATCCAGCATATACACAGAACCAAAGACAAAAACCACATGATTATCTCAATAGATGCAGAAAAGGCCTTTGACAAAATTCAACAACGCTTCATGCTAAAAACTCTCAATAAATTAGGTATTGATGGGACGTATCTCAAAATAATAAGAGCTATCTATGACAAAGCCACAGCCAATATCATACTGAATGGGCAAAAACTGGAAGCATTCCCTTTGAAAACTGGCACAAGATAGGGATGCCCTCTCTCACCACTCCTATTCAACATAGTGTTGGAAGTTCTGGCCAGGGCAATTAGGCAGAAGAAGGAAATAAGGGGTATTCAATTAGGAAAATAGGAAGTCTAATTGTCCCTGTTTGCAGATGACATGATTGTATATCTAGAAAACCCCATTGTCTCAGCCCAAAATCTCCTTAAGCTGATAAGCAACTTCAGCAAAGTCTCAGGATACAAAATCAGTGTACAAAAATCACAAGCATTCTTATACACCAACAACAGACAAACAGAGAGCCAAATCATGAGTGAACTCCCATTCACAATTGCTTCAAAGAGAATAAAATACCTAGGAATTCAACTTACAAGGGACGTGAAGGACCTCTTCAAGGAGAACTACAAACCACTGCTCAATGAAATAAAAGAGGATACAAACAAATGGAAGAACGTTCCATGCTCATGGGTAGGAAGAATCAATATCATGAAAATGGCCATACTGCCCAAGGTAATTTATAGATTCAATGCCATCCCCATCAAGCTACTAATGACTTTCTTCACAGAATTGGAAAAAACTACTTTAAAGTTCATATGGAACCAAAAAAGAGCCCGCATCGCCAAGTCAATCCTAAGCCAAAAGAACAAAGCTGGAGGCATCATGCTACCTGACTTCAAACTATACCTCAAGGCTACAGTAACCAAAATAGCATGGTACTGGTACCAAAACAGAGATATAGATCAATGGAACAAAACAGAGCCCTCAGAAATAACACCGCATATCTACAACTATCTGATCCTTGACAAACCTGAGAAAAACAAGCAATGGGGAAAGGATTCCCTATTTAATAAATGGTGCTGGGAAAACTTGCTAGCCATATGTAGAAAGTTGAAACTGGATCCCTTCCTTACACCTTATACAAAAATTAATTCGAGATGTATTAAAGACTTAAACGTTAGACTTAAAACCATAAAAACCCTAGAAGAAAACCTAGGCATTACCATTCAAGACACAGGCATGGGAAAAGACTTCATGTCTAAAACACCAAAAGCAATGGCAACAAAAGACAAAATTGACAAATGGGATCTAATTAAACTAAAGAGCTTCTGCACAGCAAAAGAAACTACCATCAGAGTGAGCAGGCAACCTACAAAATGGGAGAAAATTTTCGCAACCCACTCATCTGACAAAGGGCTAATATCCAGAATCTACAATGAACTCAAACAAATTTACAAGAAAAAAACAAACAACCCCATGAAAAATGGGTGAAGGACATGAACAGACACTTCTCAAAAGAAGACATTTATGCAGTCAAAAGACACATGAAAAAATGCTCATCATCACTGGCCATCAGAGAAATGCAAATCAAAACCACAATGAGATACCGTCTCACACCAGTTAGAATGGCAATCATTAAAAAGTCATGAAACAACAGGTGCTGGAGAGGATGTGCAGAAATAGGAACACTTTTACACTATTGGTAGGACTGTAAACTAGTTCAACCATTGTGGAAATCAGTGTGGCGATTCCTCAGGGATCGAGAACTAGAAATACCATTTGACCCAGCCATCCCATTACTGGGTATATACCCAAAGGACTATAAATCATGCTGCTATAAAGACACATGCACACGTATGTTTATTGCGGCACTATTCACAATAGCAAAGACTTGGAACCCACCCAAATGTCCAACAATGATAGACTGGATTAAGAAAATGTGGCACATACACACCATGGAATACTATGCAGCCATAAAAAATGATGAGTTCATGTCCTTTGTAGGGACATGGATGAAATTGGAAATCATCATTCTCAGTAAACTATCGCAAGGACAAAAAACCAAACACCGCATGTTCTCACTCATAGGTGGGAATTGAACAATGAGAACAAATGGACACAGGAAGGGGAACATCACACTCTGGGGACTGTTGTGCGTCGGGGGAGGGGGGAGGGATAGCTTTAGGAGATATACCTAATGCTAAATGACGAGTTAATGGGTGCAGCACACCAGCATGGCACATGTATACATATGTAACTAACCTGCACATTGTGCACATGTACCCTAAAACTTAAAGTATAATAATAATAAAATAAAATTTAAAAATACATAAATAAAAAATAAATAAAAACAACTGCATCCTCTGGGGATGACCAAGCCAAAAAAAAATTACCATTTAAATCTCGCTGCTTGTTATTGGGCTGTTCAGGGTACTTAATATAACACATATTATGTGGCTATTGAATGAAATGTTCTGTAAATATCTGTTAAGTCCATTTGTTCCAAGGTATAGTTTAAATCCATTGTTTCTTTGTTGACCTTCTGTCTTGATGACCTGTCTAGTGCTGTCAGTGGAGTAATGAAGTCCCCCGCTATTGTTGTGCTGCTGTCTATCTCACTTCTTAGGTCTATTAGTAATTGTTTTTTAAATTTGGGAGTTCCAGTGTTAGGTGCATATATGTTTAGGATTGTGATATTTTCCTGTTCCACAAGGCCTTTTACCATTATATAATGTCCCTCTTTGTCTCTTTTAACTGCTGTTGTTTTAAAGTTTGTTTTGTCTGATATAAGAATAACTACCCCTGTTGGCTTTTGGTGTCCACTTGCATGAAATGCCTTTTCTACCCCTTTGCTTTAAGTTTATGTGAGTCCTTATGTGTTACATCAGTCTCCCGAAGGAAGCAGATAGTTTTCTGGTGAGTTCTTATCTATTATGCAGTTCTGTATCTTTTAAATGGAGGATTAAGGCCATTTACATTCAATGTTAGTCTTGAAATGTGAGGTACCATTGCATTCATCATGGTCTTTGTTGCCTGTGTACTTTGGATTTTTTGTTTTTGGTTTTTGCTTTTTAACTTATTTTTTTTTATAGGTCCTGTGTGATTTATGCTTTAAAGAGGTTCTATTTTGAAGTGTCCCCAGGATTTGTTTCAAGATGTAGAGCTCCTTTTAGCAGTTCTTGTAGTGGTGGCTTGGTAATGGCAAATTCTCTCAGCATTCGTTTGTCTGAAAAAGACTGTATCTTTCCTTCATATATGATGCTTAGTTTTGCTGGGTACCAAATTCTTGGCTGAAAATTGTTTTGTTTGAGGAGGCTGAAGATAGGGCCCCAATCCCTTCTAGCTTGTAGGGTTTCTGCTGAGAAGTCTGCTGTTAATCTGATCAATTTTCCTTTATAGGTTACCTGGTGCTTCTGTCTCACAGCTCTTAAGATTCTTTCCTTCATCTTAACTTTGGATAACCTGATGACAATGTGCCTAGGCAATGATCTTTTTGAGATGAATTTCCTAGGTGCTCTTTGTGCTTCTTGTATTTGGATGTCTACGTCTCTAGCAAGGCCAGAGAAGTTTTCCTCAGTTATTCCCCAAAATATGTTTTCCAAGTTTTTAGAATTCTCTTCTTCCTCAGGAACACCAATTATTCTTAGGTTTGGTCATTTAACATAATCCCAGACTTCTCGGAGGCTTTGTTCATATTTTCTTATTCTTTTTGCTTTGTCTTTGTTGGATTGGGTTCATTCAAAGACTTTGTCTTTGAGCTCTGAATTTCTTTCTTCTACTAGTTCAATTCTATTGCTGAGACTTTCCAAAGCAGTTCACGTCTAAAAGTGTGCAAAGTTTCTTGAATTTTTTATTGTTTTTTCTTTAAGCTATCTATTTCCTTGAATATTTCTCCCTTCACTTCTTGTATTGTTTTTTGGGTTTCCTTGCATTGGGTTTTGCCTTTCTCTGGTGCCTCCCTGATTAGCTTAATAACTAACCTCCTGAATTGTTTTTCAGGTAAATCAGGTATTTCTTCTTGGTTTGCATCCATTGCTGGTGAACTAGTATGATTTTTGGGGGGTGTTAAAGAGCCTTATTTTGTCATATTACTAGGGTTGGTTTTCTGGTTCCTTCTGATTTGGGTGGGCTCTGTCAGAGGGAAGGTCTAGAGCTGAAGGCTGTTGTCCAGGTTCTATTGTCCCATGGGGTGTTCCCTTGATGTAGTACTCTCACCCTTTTCCTAAGGATGTGGATTCCTGTGAGCTGAACTGCTGTGATTGTTGTCTGTCTTCTTGGGTCTAGCCACCCAGCGAGTCTACCTGGCTCCGGGCTGGTACTGGGGGTTGTCTGTACAGAGTTCTGTGGTGTACCGTGTATGGGTCTCTCAGCTATGGATATCACCATGAGTTCCAGTGGAGGTGGCGGGGGCAGGGGCGCAATGGATTCCATGAAGGTTTTCAGCTTTGGTGGCTTAATGCTCTATTTTTATGCTGGTTGGCCTCCTGCCAGGAGGTGGCACTTTCCGGAGAGCACCAGCTGTGGTATTATGGAGAGGAACTGGTGGTGGTCAGGGCCCTAGAACTCCCAAGATTATATGCCCTTTGTCTTCAGCTACCAGGGTGGGTAAGGAAGGACCATCAGGTGGGGGCAGTGTTTGGCTGTCTGAGTTCAGACTCTCCTTGGGTGGATTTTGCTTTGGCTGCTGTCGGGAGATGGAGGTGAGATTCCCAGGTCACTGGAGTTGTGTACCTAGGAGGATTATGGCTGCCTCTACTGAGTCAAGCAGGTTATCAGGGAAGTGGGGAAAGCTGGCAGTCATGGGCCTCACCCAGCTCCCAAGCAAACCCAAGGGCCAGTCTCATTCCCACCGTGTCCTCCCCTGACAGCCCTGAGCCTGTTTCCAGGTGGTGGGTGAGATGGGCTTGAAAACTTGTCCCAGGATGTCCACCTCCCAGCTGCAAAAGGAAAGGGCTTGGCTTTTCCCCAGCCTGTGGAGTCTGCACACTGGATTTGCACCCTCCCCCAAGTTCTGGCCAGGAGGCTTCTCACCTCATTCAAATTGTTATAAAGTTCAGCTAGAGATTTCCTTCTCCCTATGGCATTTTATCCCCTGTTCCTCTGGCCACCCTCCTGATGGATCCTTGTGGTACCAGGCTGGAATGGGCTGCTTGGGGAACCAGCGAGCTTCCAGGGCACTTCTGCTGCTTCCTCTACCCCTGTTATTTTACTCGGCTCTCTAAATTGACTCAGCTCCAGGTAAGGTCAGAAACTTATCCCACAAACAGACCTTCAGTTTCTCCAGTGGGGGTGTGTGTTCAGGAGAGGAGGTTCTCCCTTTCCCACTTCCACAGTTGCAACATTCATAGTATTTGAGGTGTCTCTCAGGTCCTGCAGGAGCAATTCACTTCCTTCAGAGGGTCTGTGGGTCCTCTCAGGATTGCTGGTTTGTTCTTGCAGTCGATCTGGAGCTCAAATTCACAATGCAAGCCACCACATGCTGCTCTATCCAGAGATGCAATGTAGTCCTGCCTTCTGTCTGCCATGATATCATCGATGTCGTTATCCTTCAAGGAGTCCTGAAATCAATTACCCACCAATACTGAGGAATGACTGTATTATTAATACTACCACTGCTACCCTAACTTCCCCTACTGCCGCTAATAAATTATACTGCCTCTGAGCCTGGACTAAGACAACTCAGGCAGAGCCTCTGTTCCTGCGGAGCTCACAATCTATTACAGATGGGCAGAGAAGTAAATGAATGAGAGCAATAAAGTAGATGCTCTAATAAAATGTGTGCATAGGGTTCAGGAAAGACATGAAGGGAAGAAAGCATGAATTGAGACTTAGAGTTCTGAAGCAACCTTAAATATTCAGTAACTATTTGTAGCTCTGTAGGCTGGAACCTAGGGTGCAGTTTATGGGACTGAAGATGGAAGTGGGGCCAAATAATGGAGGGGTGTCAAGACTGTGTTAAGGAGTTAATTTTTAGGATTTCTACCTTTTGAAAAACTCCGATACTTTCCACATCATTTTCTTATTCTTCATGACAGTCTTTTGTTGTAGAAAACATTAAATCAATTTTACAGAGAGAAAATTAAGGCATGGGGTTGAGGATGTTAATATGACAAAAGTTACAGAACTAGTAAGTGGTGGTGTTGGTGCCTGAGCCTAGAGCTCACCCTCTTTTTTTGTCCTTATTATTCATTAGTTTCTTTCAGCTTTATTGAGGTATAATGGACAAAAACATAAGTGCATATATTTGAAGTGCACAATGTGATCATTTCATATACTTACATATTATGAAATAATTAAGACAAGTCAATTAACAGAACACTACCTCACATAGTTATATTTTTTTCAATTTTTTGGGTGTGAATGCAAGACCTACTCTCTTAGCAAATTTCAGGAATACAATGCAGTTTTTTTTTTTGTTTTTTTTTTTTTTTTTGAGACGGAGTCTTGCTCTGTCGCCCAGGCTGGACTGCAGTGGCACGATCTCTGCTCACTGCAAGCTCCGCCTCCCGGGCTGACGCCATTCTCCTGCCTCAGCCTCCCGAGTAGCTAGGACTACAGGCGCCTGCCACCACGCCCGGCTAATTTTTTGTATTTTTGGTAGAGACGGGGTTTCACCATGTTAGCCAGGATGGTCTCGATCTCCTGACCTCGTGATCCGCCTGCCTTGGCCTCCCAAAGTGACAATGGTAACCATGCTATACATTAGATCTTCAAAACTTATTATATGACTTATAACTGAAATTTTGCCCCCTTTGATCAACCCTTTTTCCTCCACCAACCACATGCCCAGATCCCCATCTCTGTTCTGGCAACTGCCATTCTACTCTGGTTTTTGTGTTTGTCTTTTTGTTTGTTTGTTTAGATTCTACATATGAATAATACCATATGGTATTTGTCTTTCTGTGCCTAGCATATTTCACTTAGCATAATGACTTCCAGGTGGATTCATGTTGTTGTCAGTGGCACAATTTCCTTCTTCTTATGGCTGAATAATATTCTAATGTACGTGTGTGTGTGTGTGTGTGTATACACACATATACATATACTCATAAGTGGTGATAATGGATCATATGGTAATTCTATTTTTAATTTTTTGAGGAAACTTTATACTGTTTTTCATAATGGCTGTATCAATTTACATTCACACCAACAGTGTACAAGGGTTCCCTTTTTGTCCACATCCTTGCCAACCTTTGTTACCTTTTGTCTTTTTGATGATAGCCATCCCAATAGGTATTAGGTGATATCTCATCATAGCTTTGATTTATATTTTCCTGATAATTAGTGATCATGAGTACCCTTTCATGTACCTATTAGCCATTTGTGTATCTTTGGAAAAATGTTTATTTAGGTCTTTTGTATATTTTTAACCAGATTATTTGTTTTGATGCTATTGAATTGTATGTGTTCCTCACATATTTTAGATAGTAACACCTTATCAGATATATTTGCAGTTATTTTTTTCCCATTCTGTAGGTTGCTTTTTCATTTTCTTGATCGTTTCCTTTGCTACACAGAAGATTTTTAGTTTGATGTTGTCCTATTTGTTTATTTTTGCTTTGTTGCCTGTGCTTTTGGTGTCATAAAAAATCATTGCCAAGATCAATGTCAAGATTTTCCCCTACGTTTTCTTCTAAGAGTTTTACGATTTCTGATCTTACATTTAAGTCTTTATTCCATTTTTAGTTAATTTTTGTAAATGGTGTAAGATAGAGGTCCAGTTTCACTTTTTTGCATTGATGATATCCAGTTTCCCAACACCATTTATTGAAGAGACTATCCTTTTGCCATTGTATATGCTTGACACCATTGTTGAAGATCAGTTGACTGTAAATGCATGGATTTATTTCTGGGCTCTCTATTCTGTTCCATTGGCCTTTATATCTGTTTTTGTGCTGGTATTATGCTGCTTTGATTACTGTGGCTTTGTAATATATTTTGAAGTCAAGTAATGTAATGCCTCCAGATTTGTTCTTTTCACTCGTGGTTGCTTTTGGCTATTCAGCGTTCTTTGTGGTTCCATAAGAACGTAGAATCATTTTTTACCATTTTGTGAAAAATGTCATTGGAATTTTCATAAGGATTGTATTCAATCTGTGGATTGTTTCAGATAGTATGGACAATTTTAACAATATTAATTCTTCCAATTCATGAACACAAGGTATCTTTCCATTGATTTATCTACTTCAATTGTATTCATCAATGACTTCTAGTTTTCAGTGTGCAGATCTTTCATTATCTTGGTGAAATTTATACCTTAGTCTTTTATTGTTTTTGCTCCTTTTGTAAGTGAGACTGATTTTTTAATTTACCTTTGAGACAGTTCATTCTGTATAGAAACCTATGAGCTTCATGGACTTTAATGTCTGCATCTCTCTCCAGATTTGAGAAATTTTCAGCCATTATTACTTTAAATACTTTCTTTCTCTCTCCCTTTCTCTCTCTTTCCCATCTGGGAAATGCCATGTTTCACTTGATGGTGTTGATAGTGTCCCATAACTCAGTTTGGCTTTCTTCACTTTTTTCTTTCTTCTTTTTTTTTCTCCTCTGACCTGCTTTCAAATTCATAGATTCTTTCTGCTGCTAGATTAAGTGTACTGTTGAGGCTCTTTACAGCATTTTTCATTTCAGTCATTGTATTTAGCAGTTCCAAAATTTCTGTCTGGTTCTTTTGTTATAACTTCCATCTCACTGTTGCACTTCTAGTTTTGTTTGTGTATTGTTTTTCTAATTTCACTGAGTTTTCTATACCTGCTATCTTATAGCTCACTGAGTGTCTTTACAACAATTATTTTAAATTCCTTTACTGGCAATTTATAGATTTTCATTTCTTTGGGGCTGGCTACTGGAAAATAATTATGTTTCTTTGGTGATGTCATGTTTTCTTGATTTGTTGTATTTCCTGTAGTCTTGCATCAATGTTTAAGCACGTGATGGTACATTTACCTATTCTAAACTTCATAGACTGGTTTTGGAGGGGAGAGACATTCACCTGTAGGTAGGTACAAGCATGCCAACTGGGTAGGGTGTGGCAGTTCTGGTTTTGGGGAGTAGTCTCCATGAATATCCCACTAAGTGAGGTCCGCATTAGCAAATATTGCAGGAGAATTCAATGACTAAGGACACTGTGGGTGTCCACAGTGGCAACAAGGACTGTTGGGGTCTTTGGTGGATAAGGCTGCTAGGAAACTCCTGATCTCTTTTTCACCCAAGGGGGATGTCATGGCTGACAGGATCCATCTTGGCATTGGGTATGGCTTGTGGGCACCCTCCTAGTAGTAGTAGCAATAATGTCTAATGCACAGTTGCTTGTGGAGCAGCCACAGAGCTGGAGTCCATAGCACAGGCACTCATGATGTGACAGCATCTTCAGAGTCTGGGGTTCTGGATAGCTTACAGTGGCAGTGGCTCCAGTGCCCATGATGTGGGCACACATGGAGCAACCTCAGAGTAAGATCTGGAGCATGGGCACATGAGAGCAGCTGCAGAGCTGACATCCAATGTACAGTCACTCACAGAATAGCCATAGCTCTAGGGTTCAGAGCTTGCATGGAGTTGGGGCTGTGGGTGGCTGCCTTGGTCTCAGGGTGGCACAACAGCTCATTCCAAGCCAGGCACAGCAGCATCTCCCTCTCCAGAGTAGACAAGGTGGCACTGAATGCTGGTGTACTCTGCAGAACAGGCCACCAGGATTAGAACCAACTAACACTATGAGATGGATACTTTATTGTGAAAGCTGCAAGGAGTCTGCAGCTTTTTGCTCTACTTTTTTTTATTCTCCTTTTTTGCTCTACTGTGTTGCTGTAGCTTCTTAATTGGACTGTTGAGCCCTCCTGGGGCTATTTTCATTCACAAATAGCTGTCTCATTGTTTTTTCGTGTCTGGGGCAAAGAAGGCTGATATCTCCTGCTCTGTCATTATGCTCACAGAACTCACACTCTTAACCTCTAAGAAGTCTGCCTGTATTTAGCCAGTGAGTGCCCATGGCTTGGGGCCAAAGTTTTCTAGTTAGACAGAGGGGTCATGTAGTCTTACCTGTGTCTTGAAGCATCATCTAGCAGGAGTGTGGAGAATGGCCTGGAGGGTTAATGAACTTCTGGCAGGCCAGATCTCACAAAAGCTGAAAAGGCAGGCCTCCGAAACAAATGTTTCAGCACTGACTAAATGGTTAGGTTAAATATTAAAGGCTGAGAAAGCCAGTACCCTTACACATAGGCTGGAACAACCAATAAAGGTCCACTAAGAGTCTTGCCCAGGCCTTTCTGGGTCTTGGAGCATGACAAGATAAGGAAGGAATGCTCACACTCCCCATACAAGGACCCATTTAGGTTTAAACAAGTTTTATTGCAGGGTCTAAAGGAACTCCCCAGATGTCTATAACTTAGTGGGACACAAGGTAAGAGTAATCACCTCCAGCACCTGGACCCATCTAAATTAAGTAAATTTACTGAGGCTCCAGAGGAAGATCTCCAGGACTCAGACCTTAATTATAGATTAGAAGAAATTAATCACTTATATCTTTAGGTGAATGCACACTTACACGTAGACATATAGCTTAGAAGGTATATCAGCACTGGAAAACTTTGTAATTTTGAGTTGGTCTGGCAATATTTCCTCAATATTCTCCCTATACCTGGTTACAGAAATAAACTCTCTTCTTTCCCATTCCTCTGCATCTCATTACTGAACCAAGAGAATAAGCAGCCTGACCCTTGGTTCAGTCTGGGAACAAACTTACAAAAATAGCCAACCACAGTCAAATCACATCCTTTCAAAGGAAGAAAATTCCTGGAAGTTTCTTTCCTTGCACACCTCTTTTAGTTTTTGGAGTCATTTCCCAGGTATCTGAGCTCATAGACACCTGCTGGCATCCTTGTGCTTTCGTTCTGCCAATACAGCAGCTCTGCTGATTCTTCCACAAAATCTTCTTTCACATCTGTTCTACAAAGCTTGCCTCACTGTTCATGCTCCTCACAGCTTCATGCTCCTACTGTACGGGGTGCTGATGGCTTTCTATGTGAAATTCTTTTTTTTTTTTTTTTTCAGACGGCGTCTCGCTCTGTCACCAGGCTGGAGTGCAATGGAGCAATCTCAGCTCACTGCAACCTCCGACTCCCTGGTTCAAGTGATTCTCCTGCCCCAGCCTCCTGAGTAGCTGGGATTACAGGCACATGCCACCATGCCCAGCTACTTTTTATACTTTTAGTAGAGACGGGATTTCACCATGTTGGCCAGGATGGTCTCCATCTCCTGACCTCGTGATCCGCCCGCCTCAGCCTCCCAAAGTGCTGGGATTACAGGCATGAGCCACTGCACCCGGCCCTATGTGAAATTCTTTAAGGGAAACCCAAAACTGAAAATTCCTCCTAGAGGGAAAACTCGTGCATCAAGTCCTAGAGCTCACAGCTTGGGCCCAAGTTTTCTATCTGTAACCTGCTGCTCATTGCATATCTGAAAAGAGAATGGAATGAAATTGCAATTATATGGGAGTTTGAGCAGCTCGCTGCAATCCTGAGTAAAAACGAAAATACCTAGGCTCATGTTTTGCTTCCTTGAAGGGGTAAAGAGAGCTCACAAGGATAGTTTATGGAGTATTAGCAGTACAGGGGCTACAGTGTTACTGTTGTTGATGACATTTACCTTACAAACACTGCAAAAGATTAATTTATCTTAGTTCCCACATTTATATTCTTTACCACATTCTTCTTTCTCTCTCAATTGTCATGTAAAAAGTTTTTTGCGTTTTTTTTTTTTTTTTTTTTTTTTTTGTAGACTGTCCTCAATTTATAAGCTAGCAGTGTTTCCCAAGTTCATTTGTAAGTCAATTACTGGGAACTCAGAATACAATGTCTCAAACTAGCAATTAGGATAAATGTTGATTAGGTCCCTAGGCCAGCCCACAAAATTTAACCCAGAGTGCCACTAAGTCTAATACCTCTTAACATTTCAGTCCTACAAAATCACCACTCATTCATATTCCTGTTCCCTTAAGAAAATGGATCCTTAGTTCCCCAGAATGTATTCTCCTTTCTACCACGGGACAGAAAGAGTTAGATAATCATGAACAGATGCTACTTATTATTCTCCACCTTTGTGAAAAGGTAAGTCACTTTCCATGTCTACTGAAAAATAAAGTCCCTTTCCCTTTCTATATAAATTTACCTAAACGGAATTCCTGCTTTGTGTCAAATATCTTTAGTAGTGGTTTGCAGAATTTAATTTAGTCTGAATATTCTAATTTAGTCTACCTGGCATGGGGCCGAAGAATCTGCATAATAAACTTCTCAATGGTATCTTATTTTTAAATTGAGATATAATTTATATGGACTAAAATATATAGATCTTAAATGTTCAGTTCGATTAGTTTTGACAGTGGTTGTATCCATGTAGCCATCACTTAAAAGAAGCTGTAAAACATTTTCACCTCTTAGAAAGTTTCCTGATACTCCTCTCCATTCCATTTTCCCTCACCCTAAATGAGTACTCTGATTTCCCTCACCACAGATTTGTTTTTACTGCTTTCTAACTTCATATAAATTGAATCATATAATATGCTCTCTCTTGTGTGTCTGCCTTCTATCATTCACAATGATTTTGAGATTCATTTGCATTGTAGCATCTACCATTGAAAGGTTTCTTTTTATAACTAAATATCATTTCATTGTATGCTAGTTTATCCATTCTTCAGTTCCTAGACATTTGCAATTTGAAGCTCTGATGAATAAGACGTCTATGAACATTTGTATATATGTACTTTTGTGCACATACATTGTCATTTATCTTGTTTTATATGACTAGGAATAGAATTACTGAGTCAGAGATGGATGTGTTTTTCACTTTATACTGCCAAACCGTTCTCCAAAGTAGTTGTATCGTTTTACCCTGACACCAGTAGTGTATGAGAGTTCCAGTTGCTTTACATTTCCCCTAACATTTTGTATTAGCATCTTTTTAAGTTTGGCTATCATAATAAGTGTAAAATAGCAGTTTATTTTGGTATAATTTGCATTTCCTGATAACTGTGATTTGAGCACACTCTATTATCTTCATTCAGAAAATGTCTGTCCAAGACTGCCTATCTTTTTGTTGGATTGTTTGTCTTCTATGTATAGAAGTTCTAAATATATTCTAGATTCTAGATTGCCTCAAGCAATCCTCCTGCCTTGGCCTCACAAAGTGCTGGGATTACAGATGTGAGCCACCATGCCTGGCCCAGAAACTTTTGATTCTGATAATGTTTTCTTTTAGTAATTTGTGGGATTTGTTTGTGTCATCTCTAATAAATCTTTACCTACCCTGAAGTCACAAGCATATATTTTTATGTTTTCTTCAAAAAGATTTAGATCATAATTTTTACATTTAGGTCTGCGATCTTTTAATCACTTCTTTGTATATTGAGTGAGTCAGATTTCAATTTTTTTCATATGTATATCCTGTTGTTCTAGCATCATTCATAAAAATACATTGCTTTCCTAACTGACTTAACAGCTTTATTGACAATCACTTGGCAATATAGGTAAAGGTTTCTGTCTGAACTCTATTCTGTTCCATTAATCTATTTATTTATCTTTACATAAATCCTACACCATGTTGACTGCTATAGCTTTACAACAAGTTAGATCATTTTAAGGCTTCAACTTTTCTTCCTTTTTCAAAATTGTTTGGCTACATTACATCCTTTGCATTTCCATATAAATTTTAGAATCATCTTGTCAATTTCCTAAACAATTTTGCTGAGAATTTGAGATTACATTGAATCTGTATCTTAATAATACTGAGTCTTACAAGTAATATATATGACGTATTTCTACATTTAGTTAGGTTATTTTTAACTATTCTCATCAATATTTTAGTTTTCAGTGAATAGGTCTTGAACACATTGTGTTAGCTTTATTCCTAGGTATTGAATTTTTTTAATGCTACTGAAAATGTAGCATTAATGAAATAACTTTCATTTTCAAGTTATTTATTGCTAGCATTTAAAAATATAATTGATTTTCATTGATTTTTGGTCTTGTATCTGATGATCTTGCTAAATACTAACTATTTCTAATAGGTATTTTGTTAAAATCCACAGGTGTCACATGGCTGAACAATGGCCCCTAAAAACATCAGATCCTACCTAATTCTTGGAACCCGTGAATGTTACCTTGTATAGCAAGGGAAAAAAAAAATAAGGATACTGTAGATGTGATGGAGTTATGTCCTGGATTATTCAGGTGGACCCTAAATGCAATCACATGTATCCTTGTAAGTGTGAGGTAGAGGGAGATTATACAACCTCAGAAGAAAAGGCAATGTGAAGACAAGTAAGAGGCAGATTTAAAGATATTGCCACTAAAGATTGGAGGGATACGGCTATAAGCCAAGGAATGCTGGCTGCCACCAGAAGCTCAAAGAGGTAAAGAAAGTATTCTCACCCAGAGCCTTTAAAGGGAGCACTGCCCTGCTAACACCTTGGGTTTGGCTGAGTAATACAAATTTAGATGTCCAGCCTCTAGAACTGTGAGACTAAATGTATATTGTTCTACGCCATCAGTTTGTCGTAATTTGTTACTCCAGCCACAGGACAGATCTCAAAGATTGTTTCAAGCTTTATTCCCAGGTGTTGGTTTTTCATACTACTGTAAATGATATTTTTATTCTCATTTTCAAATTATTTATTTTTGGTACTTAGAATTAGTGTTGTATTTTGATCTTGTATCCTATGACCTTGCTAAATGGTAAATATTTACTACTTCTAGTAGTTGTGTGTGTGATTATAAATTCCACTGAGATTTATAGGTACACATCATGTAATCTTCAAATAACATATATATCAAATAATATATATATCAAATTATACACACACACACACACACACACACACACACACACACACACATATATATATATACTTTTTTTTTTTTGAGACAGAGTTTTGCTCTTGTTGCCCAGGCTGGAGTGCAATGGTGCAATCTAGGCTCACTGCAACCTCCACCTCCCAGATTCAAGTGATTCTCCTGCCTCAGTCTTCCGTGTAGCTGGGATTTCAGACATGTGTCACCACACCCAGCTAATTTTGTGTTTTTAGTAGAGACGGGGTTTCTCCATGTTAGTCAGGCTGGTCTCGAACTCCCAACCTCAGGTGATCCGCCCGCCTTGGCCTCCCAAAGTGCTGGGATTACAGGCATGAGCTACCACACCCGAGTATTTTTATTTTTTTCCTTTCCAAACTCTATGTCACTGATTGCCTTTTCTTTACTACTGTCCAGGAATTACAGTACAATGTTAAGAAGAACACATGTCTTGTCTTCTTCTTGATATTAGAGGAAGAGTTTAATGTTTCAGTATAAATTTTACTACTGGTTTTTCAGGGGTTGTCAGTGTTCTTTATCAGATAGAAAAAGTTCCTTTCAATCTCTGATTTGCTCATAGGTTAATTCTTTTTCATGAATGAACTTGCATTGTGTCAAATGCTTCTTCCTCCATCTGTTGAATCATATAATTTTTCTCCTTTATTGTGTTATTTTGGTGAATTTCACTGTTTGACTTTTGAATGTTGATATGGCTTGGCTCTGTGTCCCCACTCAAATCTTCTGTCAACTTGTAATTCCCAATGTTGGGGGAGGGACCTGGTGGGAGGTGATTGGGTCATGGGGGTGGATTTCTCCCTTGTGTTTTGTGATAGCGAGTAAGTTCTCATGAAATCTGGTTGCTTAAAAGTATGTAGCACTTCCCCCTTCACTCTCTCTCCTGCTCCAACTGTATGAAGACATGCATGCTTCCCCTTTGCCTTCCACTATGTTTGTAAGTTTCCTGAGGCCTCCAGCCATTCTTCCTGTATAGCCTGCAGAACCATGAGCCAATAACACCTCTTTTCTTTATAAATTACCCAGTCTCAGGTAGTTATTTATAGCAATGTGAGAACAAATGAATACAAATGTTAAATTAATACCGCATTATGGGGATAAGTTCCACTTGGTCACAATGTACTATGTGGCTATTTTTGATTCATTAGTAATTTCTTCAGGATTTTTGCATCTATGTTCAAGAGAGATATTGGTCTATAATATTTTTAATACCTCTTTTGTGTTTTGGCAACAGAGTTATGATGACCTCATCAAATGAACTGGGAAGTATTTTATCATCCTTTATTTTCTGAAAGAGCTTATGAAATATTGGTAATATTTATTCCTAAATGTTTTCTAGAATTCACCAGTGAAGACATCTGGGCCTGGAGTTTGTTTTAGGGAAGGTTCTCTATTATGACTTCAATATATGACTGTATTATGACTTTAACAGATGATATGCAGGGCTATTTAGATTTTCTACTTTGTCTCCTGTCAATTTTGATATGTTGTATTTTTTCAAAGATTTCAATTTTATCTTATTTATTAAAGTTATTGCATAAAGTTGTTCATAACATCCTTTTATTATTCAAGTGTCTATAGTGATATCTCAAGAGTCTCTGGAGAGGTTTTATCTCAGCAGTCTTACCTGCCCCAGCATTTGGCACACAACCCTGATCCACTCAGTGAGAGAAAATTGGGAAGAGATGGTGGGTATGTGCAGGCTCAAATTATGTCTTGGGCTCCTCAGATTGTATGTATGTAAGATACAGAATGTATCTTATCAGCCCAAACATGCTATTAAAAATTTGTTAAGAATTCTACTGGTTTTTTCTTACCCCATCTATGATGGATTCCTCCCACCCTCACCACTCTGCCAGGTATGAAAAACAGGAATGCCTCTCAGCTCCTAGGAAAGACTTACCACTTTCTATATTTTAGTTTATTTAGGTCTATTTCTGTCCTGAACTCTCTAATTGACTTCTTAAACTAGGATTTTGTAGCTTGCCGCCTATTTGGCTTGTTCTTAGTAGCATAGAAGCAATTGTCTCCTGTGATTTTGTCCATCCTAACTAGAAATGGAAGTCTCCCCAGTTATTCTGATCCAAGTGCCCTGTGACCAACCATCACTTGGAAAAGCCTTCCACAGGCTTTTGCATAGGGACATAAAGAATAGCTGGTCTCATTTAGGTGTAGGTTAAGACTTTAGTTTGGAAATTCCTTGTCCCATGAATATTCAGTATCTTGTCAAGGAGCATTTGTTGCCTAGAAAATTTCAATAATTGCATGTACTACTTTCATTATAAAGTAAAATTTAATGTTAGAAAATTTATACTGAGGACTTTAAATACCTGACTGAGGACTTTAAATACCTGACTTGAAAATAACTGCTTTAACCAGAAAAATCTTGAGTCTTAATTTATTTTTTTAAGAATGAAACTCTGGACTTAGAAATACTCAATTTAACTTTTCAATAATAAAAAGTTTTTCTTTTATCCCATACCAGAACAAACTTTATTCAAGATGGTAATGCCTAAGCTAAGGAAACAGTACTTTTAAGGAATTTTAAAATTAAACCAGTGAGAGTTACATTGACAGTTGGAGCAGGAGAATATGATTCTAGATATGTGCTTTTCCACTGACAGTTTTTATTACTTATTTATAACTAGTATTTATCATTTCAAACTTTTTTGTTTTCTAAAGAGAAAAGACACTTTTTCTTTATCATTTTGTGCCTGCATTGCCTGAAGTCTGAAGAGACTCACATGCTTAATAATTTCCATAGCATCTTTGATGAAATAATCAACCTTGTATAACACATCTGCCATACTTTACATTGAGGGTTCATGCCTGTGAGGTCATATCATATGTCTTCTGTTAGAGACACACATACATATATTTTTATTCTTCCCTGTGAAGCATATCGTGAATTCTAAACAGAGTCACAAAAAGTAGAGTTAAGGTACCCCCCTGAGGAAGTCAGGCAGGATATCCTTGCCTGCACCTCTATTGAGGTACCATGTTTTAATGTCTAATCCCCAGCTTTTCATACTGGATTTTCTTAATGTACCCTCAGCCACTTGCTAACTAAGAACTAAGTACCCACACCAGTTAACATATACCCACCAAATGGTACATAAAGTAAAAAGCTAATCAAAAATAGGACCTATGACTTTTTAATGACCATAATGCTTCAGTTTTTACTTAAGACACCCTACCCTCACCATACCAGGGCTTCTAAAACCTGAATTATTCATCATAATTTTGCTCTGCGATCTTGTTAAGTCTAACAATAAAGGTAAAGTGGTTTGGGGGTATGTTTTATCTGAGCTCTGGGAAAGCACAACCATAGGCCAACCCCTCAACAGAGAATGTAAGATGTCCTTTTGCACAGATGCACCATCTCTTAAAAAGAATTGCCACTTTTCCTTCCAACCCTAAGCCATGGGTATACTGACCGCATTCCTTGTGACCATGATTTCTTTCCTTTAGATATATTGTGACCACTAGCAAAACTACAGTTAAGAGTTCTTTTCTCGAGTCTAGGAATCATTTTGTCTCTATATCATTTCAGACCCTTCACAGTTCAAATAAAAGAAAATCCAATTAAAATGGGCTTACATCATAGTTTGAAAAATATTTCAGTGCTTAATTCAACGTTTGAATCTATTCAGGATCCAGTTTTCCCCTGTCTGTTTTCTGGGACAACATCAGTGCTTTTGGATCTGATTCTAGGCAGACCCTCTCCACATGGTCCCAGGGTGGCTGCCAGTTGTTCTCAGGGCCAGCTTTCCTCATCTTTGGGCACTGGGAATGAGAATCTTTTGGGATGGATTCCACAGGGAAAAAAATACTGAGGTGCTCCAGGAAATGTGTCTTCAAATCTCATTGGCGCTGACTGGATTACGTGCCTGTCCTTGAACCAGCCACTGTGGGCTCAGGGTTAGGATAACCCAATTTACTGAAGCCAATCAAGAACCAATCAAGAATCTAGAACTTGAAGGGGGTCAAGGTCACCCAATCCATAAAGCCAAAATGAGAGTGAGCAAACTCACCAGGAGAAGATAAGGCATGTGATGGGGAAACAACCAACAAATATCCCCCAAAATAGGCTCCTGGAATGATGCATTCATTGAATTATTAAAATCTCACCATTTCTGGAGTCCTCACTCTAGTAAGCCACAAGAATAATCAGGAATTCTCCAAGGAAGTTTAGGGAAACAGAATAATGGTCAAAGAAGCATCTCCTCTGTTCAGAGATTTATGCTAGGAAGAGGGAGGGAAATCCCTGCTTACAATCCCATAAACTTGTACTTGCTCATTAATTTTTTTTTTTTTTGCTACTTATTCAAATCAGGATGAAATCATAGGATGAGAATTTACAAAAGTTTTATACATCATTTATTTTTGAAAGTTATTGCAAAAATATTATTCTTGCACAAATTTATTCTTTTTTAACCTGGGTTATTGGAACTATTACAATAATATGCTCGGAGGTCAAATCTCCGAATGCCTGTCAAGCTTTTCACGCTCTGTTAAGGAGCACTTGTCAATACCTCCATACTGCTTACACAAGTCTATATTTTCCATCTGATCTGGGTAAGGAGTATATTCTTCCCTACCTTCTCTCTCTTGAATGGTAACTCAAAGTATCCCAGTGCTTACTCAGCTCAAAGTGATGTTTTGGTATCTATCACCTCACCAGTGAGTAACCAGGCCAGAAAATATATTTTTTTTTTTTTTTTGAGATAAGAGTTTTGCTCTTGTTGCCCAGGCTGGAGTGCAATGGTGCAATCTCAGCTCACCGCAACCTCCACCTCCCAGGTTCCAGAGATTCTCCTGACTCAGCCTCCCTAGTAGCTGGGATTACAGGCATGCGCCACCACACCTGGCTAATTTTGTATTTTTTTTTTTAAGTAAAGACGGGGATTCTCCATGTTGGTCAGGCTGATCTTGCACTCCTGACCTCAGGTGATCCATCCGCCTTGACCTCCCAAAGTGCTGGGATTATGGGCGTGAGCCACCGCACCCAGCCCAGAAAATCTTGTCTGTGGATTGAAAGGGCACCACCATCCACTGCTACTGTAAATGTTGCTGTTGCTCTATGAGTGCCTTTGCCCAGACTGGTGGATAACCCAGTGCAAGGTCCTTACCATCATGAGAAACAATATGGTAACAGGAGCAAAAAACCACTGCTGCTGGTCCTACAGGAGTTTCTCAAGATTCAAAGAAAAAAGATGCCCTTTCCCCCTAGCTTTACTCACTGATAAAAGCTCCAAGCCAGAGGACATCTGAGTTTTAATCATAACCTCTTTAGTGGCACAGATCTTTAGCTTACACACTGCAATCACTTTCTCAGAGTCATGCCTGTGGTGACTAGACTGACTCAGGAGGATTCCAAAATCAGGCCACAGAATAGCAAGAGCCAGGGCTTATATATAACATCCTAGACCCACGTAAAGGCACGTAACCAATATGGCTATCCCGTCCTTTCCCCACTATCTCCACCTCAAGTCCAGTTTTTGCTCCAATGTCCCTTTGTCCTTTCCCAACAACCAGTTTTGACTGGAGCCATTTCAGTTTATTCAACATGTTGCAGTAACTTTTAAACTCAAACTGTCCAGTACCACCATTCCCAGAAGATCCCTGCACTCCTGCTCTTTTCCCATCTTTTCCCTAGCAACCGAGAGACTCCACATATCAATAGAAATGAGGACCAAAGTGAGGTGGCCCCATCCACACTCAGAGATGATGCCAAGGGTCAGGGTCAACACCAAAGTATAGTGGGGGACCAGAAGTAGCTCTGCAAATTTGCCCCCAAACAAGGTAGTTTAGCAATCCAACTACTTGAAATTGAAATTGTTAGTACTTTTTAACTGGAAGTTATCATGGAAGCAAAAAAAAAAAAAGCAAGAAAGGAGGAATTTATGTTTTTAGTTTTTTTTTTTTTTTATTTTTTAGTCACTCATTCAACCTAGAAAGAGGGAATTTTAAAAGGGAGAAAAACTCTACCTTATGAAAAATCTCCTTTCACCCGTTTCAGTTGGAAATGAAATAAAAATCTCTGGCACGTATCTGAGTGGCTTACTATACATATCTAATTACCATGCAGGATAGGAATCAACTCATTCATGAAAAATGGTCTAAACCTGCTTTGTTGTCATTTTATTTGATTAGAACATTCAGTTATCCATTTCTGCTCAGCTGCCCTAGCTTGTTCAGGGTATTCACTTAAAACCTGGAGTAATTCAGTGGGTCCACTGCTTTCCATCACATTCATGGCACTGTAGCCTGGAGATAGGAAAGGGATTAGAAGGAAGTAAGAGGCACAAAGAAATAGACACAATCCTAACCTCAGGTTACAGGCAACAGAAGAGGCTGAATCTCAGACCTAAATAAAAATGCAAATAAAGTAAAATCTCAGAAATAAAAAATATAAAGTACAACTATAACATACTTGTATGTGCACACACACAAACACACCCATATTTTGTGGACATATTAAAACCAAGATAAAAGTCTTTGATTTTAAACACCTTAGTGCAATATGTAAACAAAGTAAATTTGATGTAATAGAAATTACCATTGAACACAAGATTCAAAACCATAGATGAGTCAAGGCTTCCCGCTTTGAGATACTTCTGTTTTCGGAATTCATTACCTTTCAGCTACAAGAATTGTTAATGCTGGTTATAAAAAATGACAGGCTGCAGCAGGATACTAAAGAGTAAAGCAAAGAAATGTGAAGAGTTTGATCATGTGTCTTTGTCTATTTGGATACAGGTGAAAATTGTGGAGTGAACAGATAGCATGTGGATAATACACAGGATGTAATTAGGAAGTGCCAAATAAGAGAAGAATAATGTAAAAAATGCAATAATTGGGAACATGTCTGTTAGGCATGCTAGCTATGTAGAAGTTGCTGTGATTTCTAATATATGATAAAATATTCTAATTCTGAGGTTATGTGAATTTGTAGTATAAACCTATGTATTGAGTTGGCATTCTGTTCGTCATTCTGCCTTATTAGATACAATGCACAAAGAATGGCTGTGCTGTGGCAGTGATGGAGGAGGAAGGAGAAGGGAAGTGGTGAGAGCCAGGGCAGCAGCACTCCGACTTGTCCTGGAACGCTGGTTCTTCAGATGCACTTGATTCAGTCATGTCAATAGCTCAAATCGTTGACAACTTTGCAATTTAGAAAAAATTCCTAAACTGCAGAAAGGTGGAAAAGGACAGTACAATAAGCACTCTTATGCTCATCACCTAAATTCAGCTATTGTGATCATTTTGCAACATTGACTCTAGCTTGCTTAATGGCTCTCTAGAGAGAGAGAGAGAGAAAGAGAGAGACAGAGAGAAAGTGTGTGTGTGTGTATTTTAGAGCAGCATATTTTTCTTTTTTTTTTTTTTTTTTTTGAGACGAAATCTCTCTGTCTCACCCAGGCTGGAGTGCAGTGGCGCAACTTGGCTCACTGCAACCTCCACTTCCCAGATTCAAGTGATTCTCCTGCCTCAGCCTCCGGAGTAGCTGGGATTACAGGCGCGTGCCACCACGGCCAGCTAATTTTTGTATTTTTAGTAGAGACGGGGTTCACCATGTTGGCCAGGATGGTCCCTATCTCCTGACCTCAGGTGATCCACCCACCTCGGCCTCCAAAACTTCTGGGATTACAGGCGTGAGCCACTGCGCCTGGCCTCAGCTATTAATTTCCTGTTTGAAATAACAGGAATTGCTAAAGGTAAAAAAATAAAAAAGTTAATACTTATTATTCTTCTTTCTTCTTACCACTCACCCATCTTCACCAAGGTTGGCTCTTTCACGCACTGAATGGTTATAAAACCATTTTGTATCTCTTTGCATCACCATTGCCTTGGTTCAAGCCTCCATTTTTTTTTCTAGATGATGATATAGCAACAGCCTCCTAACTGGATTTTCTGCCTCTGATATTGCCTTTTTCAATCCATCTTCTCTTTGCATCATTGTTCTTCTAAAATTAATACATAATTGCCACACTTCTCTACAGAATAAAGTCCACACTCCTTACACATCTTGTAAACTGGTTCCAGTCTTCCTTTCCATCCTCATTGACTGCCTGTTTCATTCATGCTCCCCGACCCTGTTTTGCAACCCTATTGCAATTTCCCTACAGAACTTCCATGTCTTCTGCCTCAAAGGTGCTTTCTACTTTGCTTTGGTAAATACAATTCCATGCAGGGTTCAAAATCTCACTCTTGGCTGGGCACAGTGGCTCACACCTGTAATCCCAGCACTTTAAGAGGCCAAGGATATTAAAGGTGGGTGGATCACCTGAGGTCAGGAGTTCAAGATCAGCCTGGCCAACATAGTGAGACCCTGCCTCCACTAAAAATACAAAAATTAGCCAGTCATGGTGGTGGGCGCCTGTAATCCCAGCTACTCAGGAGGCTGAGACAGGAGAATTGCTTGAACCCTGGAGGTAGAGGTTGCAGTAAGCCAAGATTGCACCACTGTACTCCAGCCTAGGCAAAAGAGAGAGACTCTGTTTCAAAAAAACAAAAAACAAAATCCCACTCTTGAGTAGTTTTCTTTAACTCCTCAAAGAAGAGGCAGTTCTCCTGCTAAGTTCCCAAGATAATTTATCACACTGCATTACAACCATTTATTTTCAAGTTGGTCTCCTCCATTAGACTATATTCCCTCCACATTTCACTACAACTGGAAACTTACACAGTTTACTACATTGTTCCTACTTTTAAGATGAGGCACCTAACCCCCAAACCTAAAATAAAGGTTAAAAAGAAAAAATAAATAAAATAAGGCACTTAATATTTTCTCATTATCTGAATATTAGCCATTTATGAGGAGTAAAGAAAGAAAAAATTATCACTTGAAGAAAAGGCATTAGACCTTGTTTTCATTAGTTTTCCCACTGTTTCCTTTTTTTTTTTTTTTTTTTTGAGACAGAGTCTCGCTCTGTCACCCAGCCTGGAGTGCAGTGGCGCCATCTTGGTTCACTGCAACCTCCACCTCCCGGGTTTAAACAATTCTCGTGCCTCAGCCTCCCGAATAGCTGGGATTATGGGTGCATGCCACCACAGCCAGCTAATTTTTGTATTTTTAGTAGAAATGAGGTTTCACCATGTTGGCCAGGTTGGTCTCAAACTCCCAACATCAGGTGATCCACCCCCTTCAGCCTCCAAAAGTGCTGGGATTACAGGCATGGCCATCACGCTTGGCCTGGTTCACAGCTTTGTATTCCCTCCCCAGCTATTATTTCCAAGTACTTCTGAACTATGTTTGGAAAGAGCCACCTCAGCCCACAGACAGCCATAGAATAACCATGTTGGCTGTGCCAAGCCTGAACAATGAGGACTCTGACAATTTCCTATCATTAGATACCTCTGGAATGAGTATTCTATGACCTAGATGTGGTTTTCTTTCCTTTTTACCAACCCTCTAGAAATAGCCAATTATTAAACTTTCACCCCTCACCGCTAAATACACACACACACACACACACACACACACACACACACACACACATACCCACGCACCTTGATTCAATAAAAGGCTCAAGGAATTGTTGGTACATTGTTCTTGACTGCTCACTAAATCTACTTTAAGACATCAACTTGGACTCTAGCCTTAAGGGAAGCTACTGTGGCCTATAGCACCAAACTCTTGGCCAGTCTTATTATGGAATATTCTCAGACTCTCTCAGAGTCTAGAGTTGATGTGTAACCAACACAGTATAACCCTCTTCCTTTATCTTGAGAGTCTGCCTCTTTCTGGTAGATTGCCACCCAATTGTTGTGTTACTTAACCAAATATCCTGCACTATTTTGGGAGACATGGTGATGAAAGGGGCTCCTGTTCCAAGGGCTTACCTTTGCTGTGTATAGAGGCCTAGCTCCCCTTTTAGGGAGGTAGGTCACCAGAAAGGAGCTACATGTCTCACCGCAGCACAGCAGGGTCACACACTCTTACCAAACTCTCACAAGGAAAATGGCTATTCCAATCCCAGGACTCAACAAAGATCGAAAACTGTGTTTCTTGCAATAAAAAAAGAAAAAAATTCCCTGATACCTTCCCCCCTTGCTTCTCATAAAGGTCCAAAGTGGGATTGCACCTTCTGCCCCACAATAAAATAATATGTCCCCAATACTGTATTAGAAAAAAGACGAAAACTTAATATTCGACTAGTCCATCCCACCTCAACCCACATTCTGGAAATTGCTTATTCAACTAACGTTATGAGGTCTATAGTTACATTGCAATTTGTATAGTTTTATTGTCTGTTTTTGATCTATACACATATAAAAGTAAAATTTCACATTTGCATGAAGAAAGAAAGCTGTTACAAAACTAAATCATGCCACTTAATTACCATGTCAGAAAGTAATAAATTGAGATGTCTGTATATAGTTGATGGCCTCTTCAAAAATCCAAATTTATTGTCTTTTTTTTTTAGTCCTGGAAACTATTTTCATTCAAGATGCTAAATCAAGCATCATGGGCACTGGAAAACAGTATTTCAGCTAAACTCAATTAGATTATTTCACTGGAAAAAAAAACTGTGTCTTATCTATCAGGTTGAGAGATGTCTGGAGTTAATAATTGTTTTCTCTTTAAATTATATTTTATATTGAAAATTCTTTGGAAAATCATTTCTAGGAAAGGAGAGCAACTTCTTCTTCATAAGAAATAACCCATCCTATAACTGTCCAATAGTCACTGGCAATGATAAAATGTGATGGGTGTTTAAGTTCTGCTTTCTCAGACAGTCAGTAAAATGTGAGCTCTTCCTTCTCCCTAATGATGGCATCATTTTATTTCTGACCTCTACACCATCAATATTTAGTGTATTTCGCCCACAGCAAAGACGTTCTTGTTGACTTTGTTGTTTAAGGAAAATAAAATGAGTCCTCTAAGGCCAGTAACTGAATAGATAAATTTGGATTCTTAAGAATTACAGTAAGAAGAAAACATCCCACTACTAGGTAGCTAGCAGAAAGCTAGATAAGAGGAAAAAGGTTATTTAGCTCTAAAAGGACAATTATTTATAACCTCAGCATAATCATGAGAAGACATCAGATACATGCAACCTGAGTGACATTCTATAAAATACCTCATCAGCACTCCCCCAAATTGTAAAGGTCATGAAAGACAAGGGAAGACGAAGACATTTTCATAGGTTGAAAGAGACTAAGGAGATAGAATAACTAAATGCAATGTGGTTTCCTGAATTGGATTCTGGAACAGAAACAGGACATTAGTAGGGTGAAAAAAGGAAGACTTCAATAAAGTCTGTAGTTTAGTTGATAGTATTGTACCCTTTTTAATTTCTGAGTTTTGAGAAGTGTACTACAGTTATGCATGATGCTATATTAAAGAAAGCTGGGCGGACAATATTTGAGAACACTCTGTATCATCTCTGCAATTCTTCTGTAAATCTAATATTATCACAATATACAAAGTTTTAGGAAAAGAAATACAGCTGTTGGGGCTGGCCAACATTTCCGAGCAGCAGCAATATTCTGCTAAAGTCAACCAAGTTTATTTAAGCAGAGGAAACTAACACCTGATTTATACTTATGAACTGTTTTGTCCCCCTCAAGTTAATCTATAGACCTTCTCATACCCAGGGCAGTGATTTTAATTGCATTATGTTTTTAATATCCTTTGCAGATTTGGTGCTTAAAATTGCCCACCCTCTTCAGTTTGCCTGATCAATTTAGTTAATAGTATACCACTTCCAAGACAAACTTCCGTATCTATTTCGTCTGCAAGGAGCACTTTTCTCCACAATGTCTCTTTGGAAATTCAAAGTTACCCTTATGAGAGTTATTTAAACCTAAATCTTACCTAGACTGCTTGCACATTCCTAGATCATGAATGACACCCAGATGAACTTAACAAAAGGGAGGTATCCTATTCTCTCTCCTCAGCAACCTGTTCTTACATTGCTCCAAGCTTGCTAGGAAAAAGCTTTACTAAGATGTCTCTCCAGACCCATCTCAAGTCTTTTTCTTTTCCCTATAATGGTGCACGGTGTATGTAAACCAAAAGAAAATAAAGTTCAACATTCAACAGATTGTCTATTTCATTTTTATTGTCCATGTTTCAACTGCAGCAAGAAATTGCAAAACAGGAAAGCAAAGAGAAGATTAGAAAGAAAGTAAAACATGGAGCTATCAGAACCCACTCAGTTACTCAAGCCACCAATTAATTGGCCAGACAGTTTTAGTGTGGGTTTGTTACACTTACTGGAAGATTTCAAAATCTTGGATTTGAACTAGCATCTCAGGAGAAACTGAGCATCTGGGCATCCATAGCCTCTAAAGTCTCATCTCCCACAATATCCTTTCAAACAGAACGTGACCAACACCCCAGTCTCACAGAGTGAACTATGCATTTTCCTGCCACTGCTGACACTGGACATTCCCTTGGGTTAAAATGCCTATTATCCCCTTCCCCTCTAATCAAGACCTACCATTCCTTCATCGGTCTTCATAAATTACTGCAATCAAAACTATTCATGCTTCAATTTACTATATTCTGTCTCCTAAATATGCTGGGAGAAAACAAAAGGCAAGGTTGGTCAAATTTTACTTGAACGTGTCACTTGATTTTCCTGTAATTTCATTTCTTTCCAGAATGTTCTGTTTGGCCATCTACTTTTTATTCCCACTATAAAATAGTGGTGATGCTCTTGTAGCACTGTGGTTAAGTTGCTTGACCTTCAGAAGTCTCTATTTCTCATCTCTAAGTGAGGATAATATACCTAATAGTGTTTGTATGGGTAGTTAGCAGAGTACCAGGCACGCGGCCAAAACTAAATACATATCAGTTAGTGTTGTTGGTAGTGGTATTGGAGATGGTGGTGATGGTGCTAATGTCTTAAATCACATTTTAAGCATTTGACTAAAATTTAAAACCTTATGTTTACCTTTTCGTAAAGAGACATCAAACCCTATTTGAGAGTCCAGAGCATGTGACCTATCTCTTCCTACCACCAATCTCATGAAAGGACAGTAAATTAATTTTTTAAAAGAACAAATTCACACGAGAAAACAACAAATTCTCTCATAAAAAAATATTAAAATTTTGAGAAATTCCTATAACACAGAAAGCAGAAGAAATCTGGCTGATAAAGAAACAAAACCAAAAACACCACAACCCAAAATATACCCGAGAACACATCAGAGATCAGAGGAGGCATAAACGCAGAGATGCTTTAGTTTAGAGAAGTCATCACAGAAACCATCCTGAGGCAAAGTCAGCAAATCACTGAAGAACTCCATTTGAAGCATGGGAATCAGCCTCACCCCATCCTTCCCCTATTCTGAAAGCAGATAGCAGCAGCAGCCCCCTGCACATATTGACACGCCCAGAATCACTTTGTAGGAAAGACTCACCTGGAGGAGCAAGTGGCCTTAGTGTTGGGACTAGGGAGAAAAGCAGATGTGGGCCTGCCTGAGGTACGTCCTGATGTGTACCTGGTTTTCTAAAGCAGTGGCTGTGTCTCAGGAGATCTACCCAGTGTGTTCTGGGGCCAGAGACACTCAGGCACTCAGGATGGATGGTGACCACCCAAATCTAGAAGATGCACCTCTGAATCCCTACCCTGGGCTCCACACCTCAGGCCTTTCTCACAATTACAGTTGATCCTTGAACAACACAGGGGTTAAGGGCACTGAGCCCCTGCACAGTCAAAAATCCATGTATAATTTTGACTTCCCAAAACTCAACTACTAGTAACCTACTGTTGGCTGGAAGCCTCAACGATACCATAGTCAATTAACACATTTTTGTATGTTATATGTTATATATAAATAGCTAGAGAAAAATAAATAGAGAAAAGAAAATGTTATTAAGAAAATGATAATAAAGATAGAATATATTTGAATATATTTGCTATTCATGAAGTTGAAGTGGATCGTTGTAAAGGTCTTCACCCTTGTCATCATCTTCATGTTGAGTAGGTGAAAGAGGAGAGTTTGGTCTTATTGTCTCAGTGGTAGTAGAGGCAGAAGAAAGTTCAGGTGTAAGTGGACCCCATGCAGTTCAAACTAGTGATGTTCAAGGGCCAATTTGTATTTAGAAGAATGAGGCTCCTGTCATCAGAACCTCCATTCAACAACAGGCAAACAAGGATCGCCAATAAGAAATGGGAAGTCAATCAAATATGCCCAAATATTTGGAAAAAACCTAATACCTGCAAGAAAGAGCCCAAAGCAATAACAACAACAAAAAAGAATTAAAACTTAAGGAGTTGGACCTAATAGAGTACAGAGAAGAAAACATAAAAGTAAATTTAATGTGTGTCCTCAAATAGGGTCCATAGTAATCTCATTCAAAATCTGGAAGCAGCTCTAAAGAAAAATACTGTGTAGTTTGGAAACTAAAAATAAAATGGTTGGAAATTTTTTTAATGCAACAGATGAGCTAAGTAGCATCAGCGACCTAGACAAAGTTTAAGTAGCAAGCTGGAAGATTAACCTGAAGGATTCTACCAGAATGTGTGCAAAATATAAAAAGTATGCATGAGTGTTCACATAAATGGCTGAGATCACTGCTTTTCATATCTATACAAAAGAACAGAGATGCTGACAGTAAAACAAAAGAAAAAGAAAATTATAAAATTTAATTTATTTAATTTTCACAATGTACAAGGGGAAAACCAGACAACTTTTTGGCCACAGAAAGTTGGAATTGTTTTCAGAAAATATGCTTTCAAGTAGCTGGAGAAAAACAGGCTAAATACAATCCCATCCAGGTTACAAGCTGTTTATAACACACACACACACACACACACACACACACACACACACTTCTGATTCTGGAAGCCACTGAAGTAAGATTAAACAAGGAAAGGGGACATATGTTGGGGTGTGCTGAGCTGAGCTCAAGAACTGAGTTTCATTCCAAATTCAAGCACTATAGCCCAAGGAAAGCAAAGTACTATAGCACTTTTGAACATTAAAATGTCTGAGACTTCTCTTGCTATGGAGGTTAATTACGGGCCACTATGCTATGGATTCACCCCTCCAATGACAATATTTTTCCTTCCCCTGACACCTGTGAACAAACTTACCTGCTTCTTCTTCCAGCTCATTTTTCTTCTTTTCTCAATGCAAGCCAAACACCTCTTGTCAAAAGCTAATCTTATAAAGCTTATCTTGACACTTTTGACTACTCCTTCCATCTTAGGCCTGCAAGATAACAGCTCCACGTTTCCCTCTAATTTGAGGACTATTTATCAATCTTTTCACAGGCTCCTCCTCTTCCACTTGTCCTTAATTACTAAGCATTGCTCAAAGCTCAACTCTCCATTCCCATCTCTCCCATTTAGATACTCCCATAGCTTCAACTAACACTGCTAGACATTGGACTACTAAATCTATTCAATCACCATAAACACAGAAACATTGTCCTATTGAGAACTGGAATTTTTATGTTTTCCTTGCAAATATTTACCTGTTTTAGTTTGTTTTTGTCTATTTATTTAATTGTTCTTTTGCTAGTGTAACAACAGAACCACTACAGCAGCTCAGCTCTATATTCCAACCAGCTCAAGATTATTCTAGTATTGGGGACTAAGAATAGACAGAAGGTCTTCCTCCCTCAGTGACCTCTTCTCAAAGCCCAAGGACAGCCAGTCATGGTGGCTCGCACCTATAATCCCAGCACTTTGAGAGGCTGAGGGGGATAGATTCCTTGAGGTCAGGAGTTCAAGACCAGCCTGCACAATATAGTGAGATCCCATCTTTACAACAAAAATTTTTTTAATTAGCCAAGTGAAGTAGCATGCACCTTATAGTTCCAGCTACTTGGGAGACTAAGGCAGGAAGACCACTTCAGCCCAGGAGTTCAAGGCTAATACAACAAGGCCCTATAAAAAAAAAAGCCCAAGGACATCCTGTATAAGGCATCAACATGCATCTGTCATGCAACAATTGAAGGCCTTCTTGATTCTTCTACATTTCCCACCAAGAGTATCACCTTCTGAGGTTATGGACTCTAGGTCTGCTATGAGATTGGTAGAGTAATGCTTCCTTTGACATTTCAAAAAGTGCAGTTTGAGAAGGAAATTGGGGAACATGACTCTATAAACATCAACCACTCCCCCCATTAGCCTGTCCCTCCAAGATACAAAACAATCAATATCCTCACAGCTCCCCTTCTCCAGTTTTAAAGCTCTTTAAGGTGTACAGCCTCAGATACTCTCAGGTATTGCCTCAGATGTGACTTACAAAGGAACAATGGAATAGTAATCTATTCACTTAATTAAGACTTTGATAGCCTCTTATCATCATAAGTTCTAACACTGTTTGGCAAAGAATTTAAAAAATATATAGTTGCTGCTGCTGCTTTAGAAAATCTCAGATCCTTTGGTCTCTTAAGATGTTTTCCAACACTACTGAAGTGCAAGAATCTATTTTCTATTCTACATAATGACCTGTATTTTATCCTATTTTTTAGAAAGTCACCAATGGTAGATATGAGATATTAACATAGGCTAAAATCTATATTTAAAAAATCAGATAATTGCAACTTTAATCATTTGTTATGTAGAATATGTCAATCTTTAATTTTTATAAATAAAAACAGTATTTAAAAAGGAAACTAGGCAGGGTACAGTGGCTCACACCTGTAATCCCAGCACTTTGGGAGGCCAAGGTCAGCACTTTGGGAAGCTGAGGTGGGTGGATCACCTGAGGTCAAGAGTTCAAGACCAGCCTGGCCAACATGGTGAAACCTCATCTCTACTAAAAACAAAAAAATTAGCCAGGTGTGGTGGCGCACGCCTGTAATCCCAGCTACTCAGGAGACTGAGGCAGAAGAATTGCCTGATCCCGGGGGGCAGAGGTTGCAGTGAGCTGAGATCATGCCACTGCACTCCAGCCTGGGCAACAGAGCAAGACTCAATCTCAAAAATAAATAAATAAATAATAAAAAGGAAACTAAAGCATAACTCAAAAACATACAGTCCAAATCATTCAACTCCTAGAAGATATAACATTCAGTAAGTTACAGTATCATTACTAGGATCAGTGCCTACCCCTGAGGATTTTCCAAATTGGTTTGAAATTAGGTATATTTCTTCTGTTTAGACAGTAATGACTGTTTCTAATATATTTTTTTATCTCCCAGCACCTAGCACAGTAATATAAATACAATAAGTAAGTTTCTATGACATTACAGATGTCATAGAAACTTAATAAATGTTTGTGTAACAAAATTGAAATGGAAATGTGCCAAACACTCAAGAAAGCAAAGTAATGCAGTATGTGAATTCAGTTATATGTGGATCCACTCTGGTTTTGCTACTTATGGGAACTGGGGCAACTAACGGTTTTTCTCAACTGAAAAAAAAAAAAATCCTGAGGGCAATATGTATATCCTAGAGTTTATCATGAAGATTAAATAAAATGAGATTAGGTAGCATAAAATCAAATGAGGTGGCATTATCATAAACTCAATATTATGTAATTTTGTCCTATCTAAAATAATGGTTATAGCCATAAGCCATCGTTTTCAATAATAAATGATGAGAAACTTTGAGTCAAGTCATTGAGACAAGAATTTTTGACAATGCAAAACACTGAGCTAACCACTACCCTTTGATTGGGAAGATAAGCTAAAGCGCTTGCCTTTCTAGAAATGTGGTAGAATAAATACTCTGACCATCTTTCCTGCTACAAAACAACTAGATGACGGATATATTTCAACAAACATTCTTTTAAATGCATAAATGAGCTTCCAAAAATATAAACAGAGAAAGCTTGGGGAATCAAAAATGAAGAGAGAAGCTGGGCACGGTGGCTTATGCCTGTAATCTCAGCACTTTGGGAGGCTGAGGCAGGCAGATCACCTGAGGTCAGGAGTTTGAGACCAGCCTAGCCAACACAGTGAAACCCTGTCTCTACTAAAAATACAAAAATTAGCCAGGCATGGTGGCAGGCGCCTTTAGTCCCAGCTACTTGGTAGGCTGAGACAGGAGAATCGCTTGTATCTGGAAGGCGGAGGTTGCAGTGAGCAGAGATCATACCACTGCACTCCAGCCTGGGTGACAGAGCGAGACTTTTTCTTTAGACTGTCTTTGAAAAAAAAAAAAAAAAAAAAAGAGGAAGCAGAAAATACAGTGGTGACTTAGCCTTGCAGCTGTCATCACTCTCCTGGGATTATTGATGATACCAGAGGTCTGTAGTTTTGAGTTTTACCACCACACAACCATCCAGAGAACAGAAAACAAACCTGGGGGTAGAAAAAAATTTATGAGGAAGAGATTAGATTTCCATTTAAAGCTTGGGCTGTCAATTGCTACATCCATAATGAAACAGTAAGAAAATAGAAAGTTTCTTACCTGTCAAGATGACAAGAAATTGCTCTCAACATAAGCTCTGAGTAGAAAAAAAAAATCAAAAACTATCTCTACTGAAAATTTAACATTGTTTTAGGACATAAAACTAATCTTAAAAAATTTCAAATAATGATTATCTAACAGTCCATTTAGTCTGGCCAAAGGCATTTAAATTAGAAACCAACAACATAAAGATAAAATCAACAACAAACAGTTATAAAATTTAAAATATTCGTCTAAACTTATGGGTCAGAGAAGAAATTAGAATTGCAATAAAAATACACCTTTTTGTCATAAAAGTTGAATTTGTTCATATATCTCTTAAAATTAACTTAATTGGTGCCTCATCAATCTTATTGTAATATATTAAAATGTAAGATCTTAGAATGACCTCATGCTAATACTGTAATATATTACCTTGGTATTTTCTTCCTAAGGTGGAACATTATTTCTAAGCATGACATTTATGGAAGTAAAAATTACAAGTAAATCTAAGAGATTATCTTTAAAACACAAAACAAAATTTTATTTTTCTACATTTAATAAAGTCCCTAGTACATAGCAGGTATTCGATAAATTTAGGTGTTTTCATAAAAGGTGATGCAATATTATGGCAATGTGTAAACTTTACCTTCAGTCATTTTTTTTGTCCTTTTATCAAAAACACTAGTTTGAAACTAGCATTCTCTGCAGCAATCCCAAAACCACTTTTAATTTTTCCTTTGAAAAGTAATGGAATGCTTAAAATAGAGGAAAGAAGGATGTGATGGTGTGCTCCAGGCAAAACCAATGGAAACATCACCAGGGATACCAAGTGTTCATGGTCCAATCTGTGACTCCTTCCAAGAATGAAGTGAGAAACCATGCAGAGCTGCTTCTCCCAAGCTTGAAAATAGCTGATCCTACTGCTATGAGAAAACAGTATGGTGGTTCCTCAAATAATTAAAAATAGAACTGCCATGTGATCTAGCAATTTCACTTCTGGATATATATCTAACAGTACTGAAAACAGGGACTTGAACAGATATTTGTACACTCTTTTTCCTACAGCATTATTCATAACAGTCAAGGGGTGAAAGCAACCCAAGTGTCCATCAATAGGCAAACGGATAAGCAAAATGTGTTGTGTGTGTGTGTATGTATGTGTATATATATATATATAAAATAGTACATTGTTAATTTCATTTCTTTTCTTTTCTTTTGGACAGGATCTTTCCTTTTCTTTTCTTTGAGACAGGGTCTCACTCTGTCACCCAGGCTCGAGTGCAATGGCACAAGCATGGCTCACTGCAGCCTTGACCTCAGCAAGTTCAGGTGATCCTCCCACCTTGGCCTCCCTAGTAGCTGGGACTACAGGAGTGCGCCACCATGCCCAGACAAATGTTTTGCATTTTTTGTAAAGACAAGGTCTCACCATGTTGCCCAGGCTGACCTTGAACTCCTGGGCTCAAGCACAGCTGAGTTCCCCAAAGTGCTGGTATTACAGGAGTGAGCCACTGCACCTGGCCTCAGCCTTAAAAAGGAAGAAAATTCTGACACATTACAACACAGATAAACCTTGAGAACAATATGTTAAGTGAAACAAACCAGTCACGAAAGAACAAATAATGTATGGTTCCACTTATATAAGATATCTAGAGTAGCCAAATTTATAAAGGCATAAAGTAGAGGGGTGGTTGCCAGGGAGTGGGGGTAGGAGGAAATGGAGAGTTATTGTTTAATGGGTACAGAATTCAATTTTGCCAGATGAAAAGTGTTCTGGAGATTGATGGTGATGGTGGTTGTACAAGAAGGTGAAGGTACTTAATGCCAATGAACTGAACATTTAAAAATGGTTAAGATAGTAAATTTTACATTATGTGTGTTTTGCCACACTTAAGAAAATGGCTTTTACCTCTTTAATCTACACAATCTGTCCAGCCTTTGTTGGTGCCAACTAATTTTTGCTCCAAACTGAGGGTAAGGTGAGGCTATATTTAATTTTGTTAGAACTATTTATCTTTCTCCCTTACTGGGTTTCCCTCCATTATTTAAAGCAAGCACATATTTTTTTTTCTTTTTTCTTTTTAATTTCTGGGATACATGTGCAGAACATGCAGGTTTGTTACATAAGTATACACACGTCATGGTGGTTTGCTGCACCCATCAACCCATCATCTACATTTGATATTTCTCCTAATCCTATCCCTCCCCTACCCCCGACCTGCTGCCAGGCCCCAGTGTGTGATATTCCCCTCCCTGTGTCCTTGTGTTCTCATTGTTCAACTCCCACTTATGAGTGAGAACATGTGGTGTTTGGTTTTCTGTTCCTATGTTAGTTTGCTGAGGATGATGGTTTCCAGCTTCATCCATGTCCCTGCAAAGGACATGAACTCATTCTTTTTTGTGGCTGCATAGTATTCCATGGTGTATATGTGCCACATTTTCTTTATCCATTCTATCATTGATGGGCATTTTGGTTGGTTCCAAGTCTTTGCTATTGTGAATACCGCTGCAATAAACATATGTGTGCATGTGTCTTTATAGTAGAATGACTTATAATCCTTTGGGTATACACCCAGTAATGGGACTGCTAGGTCAAATGGTATTTCTGGTTCTAGATCCTTGAGGAATTGCCACACTGTCCTCCAAAATGGTTGAACTAATTTACGCTCCCACAGTGTAAAAGCATTCCTATTTCTCCACATCCTCTCCAGCATCTGTTGTTTCCTGATTTTTTAATGATCACCATTCTAACTGGCATTAGGTGGTATCTCATTGTGGTTTTGATTTGCATTTCTCTAATGACCAGTGATGATTAGCTTTTTTTCATATGTTTGTTGGCCATATAAATATCTTCTTTTGAGAAGTGCCTGTTCATATCCTTTGCCCACTTTTTGATGGGGTTGTTTTTTTTCTTGTAAATTTGTTTGAGTTCCTTGTAGATTCTGGATATTAGCCCTTTGTCAGATGGACAGATTGTAAAAATTTTCTCCCATTCTGTAGGTTGCCTGTTCACTCTGATGATAGTTTCTTTTGCTGTCCAGAAGCTCTTTAGTTTAATTATATCCTATTTGTCAATTTTGGCTTTTGTTGCCATTGCTTTTGGTTAGTCTATCCATGCCTATGTCCTGAATGGTATTACCTAGGTTTTCTTCCAGGGTTTTTATGGTTTTAGGTCTTACGTTTAAGTCTTTAATCCATCTTGAGTTAATTTTTGTATAAGGTGTAAGGAACGGGTCCAGTTTCAGTTTTCTGCGTATGGGTAGCCAGTTTTCCCAACACCATTGATTAAATAGGAATCCTTTCCCCATTGCTTCTTTTTGTCAAGTTTGTCAAAGATTGGATGGTTGTAGATGTGTGGTGTTATTTCTGAGGCCTCTGTTCTGTTCCATTGGTCTATATATCTGTTTTGGTACCAGTACCATGCTGTTTTTGGTTACTGTAGCCTTGCAGTATAGTTTGAAGTCAGGTAGCATGATGCCCCCAGCTTTGTTCTTTTGCTTAGGATTGTCTTGGTTATATGGGCTCTTTTTTGGTTCTGTATGAAATTTAAAGTAGTTTTTTCTAATACTGTGAAGAAAATCAATGGTAGGCTGATGGGAATAGCATTGAATCTATAAATTACTTTGGGCAGTATGGCAATTTTCATGATATTGATTCTTCCTAACCATGAGCATGGAATGTTTTTCCATTTGTTTTTGTCCTCCCTTATTTCCTTGAGCAGTGGTTTGTAGTTCTCCTTGAAGAGTTCCTTCACATCCATTGTAAGTTAAGTTGTATTCCTAGGAATTTTATTCTCTTTGTAGCAGTTGTGAATGAGAGTTCACTCATGATTTGGCCCTCTGTTTGTTTATTATTGGTGTATAGGAATGCTTGTGATTTTTGCACATTGATTTTATATCCTGAGACTTAATGCTTAAGTTGCTTATCAGCTTAAGGAGTTTTTGGGCTAAGACGATGG